>NC_000023.11:36046764-36197121 GCF_000001405.40 Homo sapiens | reverse complement strand
AATATCAATATATTCTTTGTATTAAAAAATCACTTAATATAATCGAAAATAATGCTTATCTTGCCTGTGTCAGAACATTATTCAGAAGAGCCATAATCTCTACTATAGTTTGATTATTTGCTTCCACTTTTTCTTGGAATAAAATTAGACCATGAAAGGCACAGAAATGCAATAAATAAAAAGCTGTTTTAAAGTAGAAAATCCTCTCATATTCCAAATCTAGAAGCTTTGACAAGGGAAATGAAATTAGTTGACACTTAGCAGACGCTTGTCATCATGAGCTGTTCTAATAATCACCTATACAAGTTTTTCCTGCTTTTAATTTCATAACTTCTGTTTGGCATGCTTAATTAGAAATATATTGTATTTTCCAGAAAGATGCCAAAGCTCATTGTCAATTATAAGAAACTTTTACAGAAGATATTTTGTTCCTCTTGTGTATCTAGTTAAATGCAGTCCTCAAATAGCACAGTTACATGCAAATTTGCAAGAAGACCAGCTGTTAATTACCCAGAAAAGAGGGATACAAACACTGAATTGGCACAAAAGTTTTAATCCCAGCTCTGCCACTAATTAGCTGGGTAACCTTTGACAAGTCACGGATGCCCTCTAGATACAAATAACCTCAATCTTCCCCCAAAAAAGTGCATTTACCTAGACAGAAAATCTCCTTGATTTTTCATAGGTATTAAATCGTATTTATTCTCTTATTTTGGGTTCGGATCTTTCCCGTTTTGTGATTTATTTGTTTGAGAAGGCTGAGCAATATTATATTATTTTGATGGCTAAACAGGCACATGGAAGTTAAGCTAAAATTCGAAATGTTAAATTCCATATGCTAAAGAGAGATCATTAATCATTATAGGTCACCATTTGGCTATCAAAATTATAATATAAACCTGATTAGTAAGAATAATCACTGTTATTTAAAATTATATTTTTATAGAACAATTTATAATAATTAAGGCAGTGAGCTAGGAGCTAGGAAACTCAGTGAGGGTGAGAAGACTCATGAAAAGATTTGTATACCTGCACTTAAAAGTTCAATTTTCTTAACAAAATTTTGACACAACATTAATTGCAGGCCTTACAGATTATTCCACAGACATTTTGAGAAGATAAAATATATTTAAATGACATAAATTATTAATGGATTGTTTAATAATAATTGGTGGTATGTTTTAGGACATTATTTCCTCAAAAACCTGGAAGCTGTCCTTAGACTTTAGAAGTCACTGTGGCAATGAAATCTACAGTCTCTCTTTCCTTTTATCACCACATTTTTCAGAACCATTTCACTCAAATGTGTCACCAATTTGCTCTGCAAGTGAATGAAAACTTCCTTCCCTTCAAATGCGAACATCACTCAAACTGTCATTAAGTTTGATCTTTATAGCAATATAAACTGTGGTCCTTGGAATCCCTTGCTAGAATTACAGAGGGAATAGCCGAGGGCAGTATAGAAAGGGAGTATGTGAAGCAGTGTAACACAATACAAAAGTCTCCTAGCCAGTCTCCCTATCTCCAGTTCCTTTCTCCAACCTGTAATCTACTATCTGTTTTGGCATCAAAGATGCTTTCTAAAACAAAGATGAAATCAGGCCCTGCCTATTCTTCCACTGGATTCCTGCTTCAATAATAATTATAATGATTATAAATAATTCAACTTAAAATTAACTGCCCTACTCAATATCAGTCTGATTTATCCATCCAACCCATTTTCTATCACTTCCAAGAAACCATTCTCAGAATCATTAATCCATGTGTACATGAGATTTCATACTTAGCTGTTTTGCTGTGTTCATAGAATCTTCTTGGGAGTACCCATCTCTCCTGCCCAGTCTCTTTGTTTTATTGGCAACTCATCCTTGATCAAACTCCTGTATTAATCAATTATCCCTGTCTTCACTATCATACAGAAATGAATTCTTCTTTCTATTCTAGAAATTGTCACAATCTGTCTAACTGTTTTATAGAAATTAGCGGACATGTTTCAGGACACTGTGTATACTAGCAAAGAGTATGCCTTGCATGGGGGCATTTTGTCAAGGACAAGGATGTCCCATCACAAAGCACCATCCACTGAGTAAGAGATGCATTTTTCTAATTCATTTGACTGTGTCATATGTTCAGTAAGCTTCTCTAATTCACCAGTAGGAGGCCCTTATATTTCAAATTCATGCAAAGTTTCTGTGTGAGATAGGCCAGCCCTATGCAAGTTTGCCTTCTCCACTGGTGATATAGTTTGGCTCTGTGTCTCCACCCAAATATCATCTTGAATTGTATTTCCCGAAGTTGGAGGTGGGGTCTGGTAGGAAGTGATTAGATCATGGGGGTGGTTTCTAATGGTTTGGAACCATTCCTCTAGTGCTGTCTCATGATAGAGTTCTCACAAGATCTGGTTGTTTCAAAGTGTGTAGCACCGCCCCCTTCACTCTTTTTCTTTCTCTCTCTCCTGCCAGCCATGTGAAGACATGCTTGTTTCTCCTTCTCCTTCTGCCACAATTGTAAGTTTCCTGTGGCCTCCCCAGAAGCAGAAGGCTATACAGCCCGCAGAACCATGAGCCAATTAAATCTCCATTCATTACACATGACCCAGTCCAGGTAGTTCTTTATAGTAGTGTGAGAATGAAGTAATACAGAAAATTGGTACCAGAATTGGGGTATTGCCATAAAGATACCTGAAAATGTGGAAGGGACTTTGGAACTGGGTAAGAGGCAGAGGTTGGAGCCATTTGGAGGGCTCAGAAGGAGATAGAAAGATGAGGGAAAGTCTGGAACTTCATAGAGACTTGTTGAATGGTTGGGACCAAGCGCTGACCAGTGCAAGAATGGACTAATACAACTGGAATGTGAGTCCCTTGAGTGCAGGGATCATGGATTTTGCATATGTTCACTCTCTCTCTGCCTAGAAAATTGGCTGTATACTGTTGGTGAATTAAACTATGTTGGGAAGAGTGAGCAGAATAATAAAATGAAATTATTAAAATCCAGCTTGAAGGATACAAACTTTTTAAAATGTGATATAGTCATTCTCTATATTCTACAACTTCTTTGTAGAATGTGAGGGTCCATAAAAATAGTATTGATTTTGGAAAATAGCAATTACTGTTTCCTCAGCTGTGCCATGTCATGTGAGGTGATATTCCCTAGAGCTAAAATGTTGGTACCTCAGGCATGTGGACTCTTTACAGTCTATCTGATAGTACCGTTGATAAGGAACCAAGAGAGTAGCCCAAAAATAAATAACTGACAATTAGGTACAAAATTCTAATTTTCAGATTTTTCTCTTCATGTTTATCTTGAAAAAGTCTGCACTGCTTATTGTAGGATGAGGGTTTTCTGGTTAATAGGAGAAAGGAGGGTGGCTGAAGAGCAAAAAGGCCTTGCAGTATGAAGGGAGCTGAGAATCTTTGTAACTTTGTGAGTATATGCCACATTGACAGAGACTTCAAGGTTGACATAACCTGCCCCCATATTGGCAGCAGGCTTTATGAGGTTAACAAATGCTTCAAAGCAATTATAGGCCAAATGGGATTTCATCTTGCCTATGTTTCCCCAGGAATTCAGGGGTGTTACCTGTAGGGAGGTGTGTAGTTATCCTCATTCCCCAAAAAAAGAAAAAAGTTGTGAAAATTGAATAAAAAAATCAAAGGACAAATGAAATAGGGCTTGCCATTATAAATCATGAAAAATAAAAAAGAAAGCATCCTCAAATAATACTCAGTTCCTCAAGCTATAAATATATCTCTAATAAAACAAAAGTTAGTCTGCTTAAATATAAAATCACATAAAGATTTTAGCATAATATAGTTTAATGTTTTTACCTTCACATTCAATAAACAAGCAAAATCAATACTGTTAAATTCTGTATTAATGTTATAAACATTCATTATAATTGAAAAAAGTTGCACATTCTTGGAAAATATTTAAATATATGCATATTAGAGACTGCCAACTTAATCTCTGCATCACCAGACACAGGAAGACACAAAAGACTGAGAGAAAACGAAATGACTGAGAGTGGAAAGAATCAGAGGAGTGGCCCTATTGATTTATGCAAATATATGGGAGATGGCCAAAGTGACATTAATATACTTAAGAACTGGTGCTTCATACCCTTAGGCTAAATTATTATAGGCCATAAATCAACAAGAAAGCCTTGCAGGGTCTTCTACCTGGGAGTGGGCATGCTTTCCCTGTTAACCTCCAACTTGACTTGGCAAGGCTGAAACTCACTTTGGTATATGGCACCCTGGTGTGGGCCTGACCAATTCACATAAGTTATTCTGGGATGCTGACCTCCCTTCTGGCTTCTTCAATTCAGCAATGCCTGGACTTTGGTCTCAATTTGTTCTAAGCAAGGTTTGTAGACAGAGAACAAAAAAGGCCAGAAGATAAATCTACCAGGTGGAAGGGAGGCTCTGGGTCAAGTCAATAAAAAACACTGAAGGTTTGTTGGGAGGGGGCTGGCTATATCACAGCAAATGGCTGTAACTGGAACCCGCTGTTAACTCAGCCCCCAGGTCAGGCATCCTCTTTTATACCCTTGCCTCCCTTACACAGGTCAGCTCAGCAATGCCAAGTGGTTTACTGCATAAAAACCCAGGATCACACAGAGTGGGTGTTCACATGCTAGACACTACAGACACTACAGTGAAGACAGAACCCCAAGGTTTTATCAATACATCATTGTGTGTTTTGCAACGTCTGTGTGCTTTGTAAAGGGGTCTGTCAACCCCTCCTCCTAAAAGGTACAATTCACCAGGGACTGGACACTGATTCTGCTTGAAATTCCTCCACCTAATTTGCTCCATTCCATGTTGGAGCAAAACATTATTGGCTCTGTAGCATTTGATAGCACGAATTTTCAGGGCTTTCATAGGTTTCTCCCTTAGTTAAGAATTTCTATGAACACTAATGTAAGATTTGTAAAACTATTCTGTTTTTAAATAGTTGTTCCTTAAATCTTTTCAACTTTATTTGAAAATTCAAACAGAAGAGCCAGAATGAAAGAAATAGTCTTTGCTTCGTAACAGTGTTGGTAGCAATGTTTCAATTTTATACATGGAAAACTATCAAGTAGGGGTCTAATTTCAGTTTTCGATAGGTGGTTTTTGTTGTTGTTGTTGTTGTTTGAGACAGTGTCTCACTCTGTTGCCCAGGCTTACAGTGCAGTGGCATGATCTCGGCTCACTGCAGCCTCCACCTTCCAGGTTCAAGCAATTCTCCTGCCTCAGCCTCCTGAGTAGCTGGGACTACAGGTGCGTGCCACTATGCCCAGCTGATTTTTGTATTGATAGTAGAGAAGGGGTTTCACCATGTGGCCAGGGTGGTCTCAAACTCCTGACCTCAGGTATTCTGCCCACCTTGGCTTCCCAAAGTGCTGGAATTACAGGCTTGAGTCACTGCGCCCGGCCAACAGGTGGTTCTTAATGGTAAAGCAGTTACGGCCCGTTTAAAAAGAACAGTAGCTAACTAGGTGAGCTTGCATGTTTGATTAACTATTATATTTTTAATATAATTAGCAACGTGTAAAACAATAGATCTTCTTCATGTAAGAAACATTAATTCAATGCAATACTTTGTACTGAGGGCATTGTTTCTCAATTGATAGCAGTATAATTTCAAGATTGTTGTTTTATTTTAATGTTTTCTCTGACAAGGACAAAACATACGTAAGCAAGATTTAGTTTTTAGTAAATTGAGATAACATGTTAATTATATTTTGATTAATTATATTAAATTTGTGTAAGCTAATATTAATATTCCAATATACTAAGTCAAAGAATAAAATCAACCTTGTTACTATGCTATTGAGAATTAACTCTAGTATTTTGTTGGGTCATATTACAAATTAATATACAAAAGTGACTGTAAAGTATTTGATCAAACTACTGGTCACAATATAGTTATTACATTTCACAAATTTTATATATGCAGGAATTTACTTAAATCCTGATCTCCTTTAAAAGAATTTAACAAACAAGTTTCAGCATTACTATAAAAAGGCATTTTTTTCCTTCTAAGTGGTAATTTTAAGTGTAAAATTAAACTATATTTTACATTTCTAATAGGTATATTATTTTTCACATGTAAATACTGCCATAGACACCAGGTAAGTACAATACCTCTTTCCAATTACCATTTTTCACTGTATATGTATTCAATTTAGTGTACATATAACTGATGATAAATTTGGGACTACATCCTGGGGGTTATAAATTTCTTCCTAAGGTCAACACATGGCAGTGTCTCTCTGGAAGCAGGTAATGCTATAAACCTTCCCTCAGTGGTGGCTCTAACTCTCTCTCTCTTTCTCTCTCACATCTGTGTCTCTCCCCCTCTCTAACCCTCTCTGTCTCTCTCCCCCTCTCTAACTCTCTCTGTCTCTCTCCCTTGCTAGTTTTGAAAGTGTAGGTGGCATGGATCCCAGAGACATAAGGAAATGAATTTTGCCAACAAGTTGAGGGAGTTTGGAAGCAGATCCTTCCTCAGTTGAACCTCTGAAGAGAATCCAGCTCTGGTCAATCCCTTGAATGGAGACTTGATAGACTGTCGTCGGAATATCTATCTAGGTCATATCTGGACCTGTGACATACAGTAACTGTGAGATAATAAGCATGTCTTGTTTTAAGCCACCTGGTGTGTGATAATTTGTTACAAAGCTATGGATAACTAATACAAATAGAGCCACAAAAAGGTCACTCTGCTCCCATGGGACTGCTTTATGCAGCTATTATAAAATTTACCCACAACTAGTGTAACTGTGGATATTCTTGAGGATAAGCTCTTTGCTTAGTAACTTGAGAGCTGAAATCATCCACATTTCTAGAGTCTTCAGTTGCCTTCAAGTCACCTGCTGTTCGTTACTCCATTAAAGTGACAGCTCGTGTAAACACACAGATCACAATTCTGTTCTCACCTTTTTGTTGCTCAAGATGATGACACAGTAGCGCACGTGCATGTTAAAGGGAAGAAAGCGGAGCTCTAGGCTTGAAGTTCCTTTCACTCCCAGGTGAACAGTATGCATGGAGCAGAAGAACTCTCTGATAAAAGTGGACTTAATTGCTAGCAAAACATAAACAGAGCTTGTTGACATATAATTTTGTAAGTGCTGTTCATTTAGTGATTAAAGTTTTGGTATCAAAAAATGTTCATAACATTAGCATGTAAGATTAGAAGATGATATGTACATTTGTTAATGAAAATACAGTGACCCTAGATCAACCTTGTTATGAAACAATGCTTAATTATGACCCTCTATAAAGATTCCTTAATACATAATTTCATTACGAAGAATTTCACTAATGTGTAAAATTAGCCAGGATATGTGAAACAAAGTGGTCATCCAAGAATCTTCAAATTTGTGTGGACTATGCAATGTTTCACAGGGTACAATGGATAACTTAAACTGGAAACAAAGGATGTATTATCTATATGTTTATCTATCTAAGTATGGCACACTAACTTATTGTGCCATAGAGCTCCATTTATCTATCTAGCAGTTTTAAAACATGTCCACACATTATCTGATATTGCCTTAAATATGATGATGTAGTGGGCCAGCCTTAGTGACTTGATCCTTACAAATTGTATGCTAGAATGCAGCAAAAGTGAAGCAGTGTGATTTTTGACACTAGATCAAATAATGTAACTGAATTCTGCCAACTCTTTCTTTTTTGGTTCACCTCACTTTAGAACTTAACGAGATCCCATAAAGAAGCCTGGGCCACATAGAGAAGCCATGAATAAGTGTTCAGGCCAAGAGCCCCAGCAGATGTCCCAAACAAAAGGCAGCATTAACAGCCAGACATGTGAGTGAAGAAGACTTTGAAAGGACTCAAGCCCCAGCCTCCATTTGACCGCGAGCTAGAGTCACACAGCTAAGCCCAGTCACCCCAGATGTATGAGAGATAACCATTATTATTAATTTGTGTTGTTTTATGCCAGTATATTTGGGGTGGTTTGTTCTACAGCTCTAGATAACCAGAACATTCCTATGTCCATTTGTTCTACCGATCATTATATCCATCTTTTCTAGACCTATAGTTATTTCATAAAGTAATTTTATGAAATAAAATGCTCCCCTTACAACTCTAAACTTGGTGATACCTGTCCCCAAAATAAGTTTAAACAATTTGGAATAAGCCAGAAGAGACATATAGGCCATATATCTAAACACATTATTTGTACATTGGAGGGAAGTAGACTGGCAGTGAAAGGAGAGATGTGTGCAGAGTTGTCCAAAGGGTCATCAAGGGAAAAGACTCAGGACCTATGCTTCAGCCTCAAATCAGCCAGCAATCCCCAGGGCTTACTACTCTGTCTATTCTTGTAACCATCCCTGTTGAATATCTCATTTCATATTATGCTTTGCATATAAAAATCAGACATGAAAACAAATAAAAACTTTTATTTAGGTACTCACAGGTATGTAAGACATTTGGGGAATCGGAACAGCCCTGATCAGTGTCACTCCCACTGCTACTCATATCATCACTGACACAAGAAAATAGGAAAACAACATCAACAACACAAACAAAACTCAAAAACAATTCTTCATATTAGTTAAATCATATAGAGCCTTGAAAGTTATGGCTAAGTACAAATGATATGAAAAGACCATAGACATATTTCAAATATTATTTGATGTTCACATTGTTTTAGAAATTAAAAAACATAAAAATACAAAAAGAAAACTAACAAACGTCCATATTTCCACCACTCTTTTCAAAAAAATTGATAAAATAATTATTTTCACTTTAAAATACAGTGCTATAGAGAAGTACAAATTTGATAATAATAGAAACCCTAATCCAAAGACTCAAAACGTGGATGATCTCAATTTAGGACTAAATAGGTACTTTTTCCAAAAGTGGTTCTAGAAATTGCTTTCTTGATAAAATTTCCTTCTCTAAGTTTATTATCTCCACATTTGCTTGTTTCTTAGAAAGGTATAAGAAGACTTCGGAATTTGATTAATTTCTGATTGCATTTCTAAAAACAAACTAGTAGATCACAGCCTGAAGCAACTGCCTCCCTTGAAAGGTTCCAGGTCTTCCAGAACCCATCAATTTCACCCATATCACTCTTCTTGTAATATTCATGATTATTTTGCTCAATAAGCTGTCAATTACTATTTTGGTTTAGAGATATTGATTACGTGATTTTTTTCTGAGAACACAAAACCCCACATTTGCTCACTTTGACATCTGCTTTTCCCTGAATTTGATGCTGTAAAATATTTTGACTCTTTACATGTAAAGTTATTCTAAAGTTATCCATTCCTTTTCACCATTTGATTTTGATGAGTAACACTGTACTGTATTTTCTTTACACCACATTTGTAATGAGGTTACTTACCACTTCTTACAGTTATTCTGTGGCTTAATTATACTCACAGGTATTCTGGTTAGCACTATAAATTATATCTTTTTTAAAAAAAGGTAATACCTTTTTAAAAAAACATTTATTATTTTACATAATTTGCACATTTGATAAACATTTTACCACTGCTATAGACACAATAAATGGATATCTTAGCATTTATAAGGGAGACCATACAGAATAGAAAGAATAACAAAGACTGCTTATTATTTCTCCATATTTGGCTCCATTGCTATTTCTTTGATATTGGAACTCTGGGTAGAAAGCCTGATTAAAATATACAGATAATTTCCAAACCTCATTTTGTTCAATCCTTGTAATCTCTAGTTCAATCATGTTTATTATAGTGAGTAGAAAAGCAGACCAATTTGGGCTTCATATCTTTTTCCTTGTCTTTACCTATTTTGTTGGAAACAAGTAAGGAAAGTACCTTTTGAAGAAATCAGAGTTGCCTCATCCCCAAAAAGAGACTCTCAAACCCAGAACAATTCATTGACTGTTTAAGCTAGACAGAACACATTGCAGACCTAGATATTTGTTTTGACTTGCTAATGAATCCAATGGTTATCATGATTACAAAAGACATCAGAAAATAATTTGATGAAATAATTTGACTGGAAAAATTCTATTTTACCTGATGAATGTTTCTGAGTCTAGAAAGCCAGTGATAAATCTAACATTTTTACAAAACTTCGGGGTCCCAAAGACAGAATGGAAAATAACTTTATTTACCTTTCTGTTAATCCTTGCACCTCAGTCCACACTACCACTTTCTAAATGCTCATAAACTATTGTTGAATTAAAAGAACAGTAAGTCTTTAACCTTAGGGAAAAAATAGAATCAAAAGAGGCTAAAATTATAAAAAAAAAAAATACTGTAGAACAACCAGTGAAATATTTCCTGCTAACCCAGTAGTGGCCCAGAGTCAGGGAGTGGAAACTACTTTTGAGGTGTGAAGGGGTAATATTTCTTTTTCCTCTGCAGTAGTGGTATGCATCACTTTTCAAGCTAAAATGATAAAAATGGCATTGGATTGATTCGCTTAAGGGTATGACTAAATCAACCCAAAAAGTGATTTCCTACTCAAACCTCTACCAAAAGGGTTAGGGAGATGTTTATCATAAGCCTTCATGAAGTTAATTCAGGACAGACATTCAAGGCTGTATCTCAACCAAATAGCAAAATGTCTGGTTCAAGTCTAGTTTTGATGCATCATGCCCTTTGAATGCCACATGCATCATGAAAACTAGAGAGCATTAAGTTTTAGATTCATTCTATCTTGATATACATAGGTGTTTCTCAATAAAAGGCCCAGTGGATATCTAGAGGCAAGTAAAAATGAAATATTTGCTGTTTTTTGCACCACCTTGACCCCTGAGCAGTTGAGAAGTGTCTAAAGCAAGGAGTCCTAAGATAGAAGGGCAGAGCTGATCTACAAATGTCAATGGGGAAAAAATTTCAGCTTGACTTCCACTAACTTAACAACAATTTAAATCAAACCACAGTAGTATTAAGCATATCTATGATTTGGTCACCAAATAATCACAGATACGTTTATACTACATCTCAGTTCATATCTTAAGATATTATTTATGTTCATCACTGCTTTTAAAGTATAGTAGGCATTAACTTCACCATTATGTCTATTAATAAACAAGTATATATTTTATTATATTACACTCTTAAAATATTTTGATAATCTATTGTAATATTCATTTCCTTTGTGCCATGGACTGCATGGTGCCCTTCACCCCCAAATTTATATGTTAAAATCCTAACCACCAATGTGACCGTATTTGGAAATGAGAAATATAAGGGGGTAATTAAGCTTTACTGAGATCACAATGGCCTTGATCCAATAGAATTAGTGTTCTTATAAATAGAGATACATGAGAGCTCTCTCTCTTTGCCCATTCTCACATGTAGAAGAGGTCATATGAGCACATAATAAGATGGCAGCCATCTACAAGCCACCAGAAGAGGACACAGAATAAAATCTATCTTGCAGCACCCAGATAATGGACTTCCCAGCCTCCAAAACCATGAGAAATAAATTTGTGTTATTTAAACCATCCAGTCCATAGTATTTTGTTATGGCAGCCCATGCAGACTAAGATAGTCTTAATCCTTACATCTTATCTTATGTGTTTAGAAAACGCTATTCTTCAAAGTGCAATTGCCTTCATGAGAACCAAAGAGCCTGATAACATTTTCAAAAGTTAAGAAATCCTAATCTAGAAGAATAGGATCATGGAAGATAACTACCATACTTGGCCTTCAATTCACTCTGCTTTCTTTAGAGACTAGCTACTATAGACTGAATGTGCTTCCCCTGCCCTGACCCCCTCAATTCATTTGTTGAAATCTAATCCCCAGTTTCATGGTATTAAGAGGTGGGGTCTTTGAGAGGTGAAGACCTCTCAAAGGTCAGAAAAGTGGAGTCTTCATGGATGAGATAAGTGCCCTTATAAAAAAGACTCCAGAAAGCTCCCTCACCCCTTCTGCCATGGGAGGATGCAGCAAGAAGACTGTCTTCTATGAACCAGGAATTTGGCCCTTACCAGACACCGAACCTGCCAGTGCCTTTATCTTGGACTCACCAGCCTCCCAGCCTCCAGAACTGTGCAAAATAAATATTTGTTGTTTAAGCCCCTCAATCGATAGTATTTTTTTATAGCACCCTAACAGACTAAGACCCTTGCCTAATTCTAATTGTTCCTAATTATTCAGCATAGTAAAAAGAAATATTTTAAAATCATGAGTCTCCAGAATCCAGCTTTCTTTTTTTTTTTTTTCTGAGACGAAGTTTTGCTCTTGTTGCCCAGGCTGGAGTGCAATGGCACAATCGTGGCCCACTGCAACCTCCGCCTCCCAGGTCCAAGTGATTCTCCTGCCTCAGCCTCCTGAGTAGCAGGGATTACAGGCATGAGCCACCACACCCAGCTAATTTTGTATTTTTAATAGAGAGAGGGCGTCACCATATTGGTCAGGCTGGTCTCGAACTCCCGACCTCAGGTGATCCTCCCGCCCCAGCCTCCCAAAGTGCTGGGATTACAGGCATGAGCCACTGCAACCAGTCTTTTATTTATTTATTTATTTTTTTAACAAAAATCAAGACCCAGAAAATTATCTCTATCAGGGCCTTCTTTCATTTTTGGTTGCAATTCTGAACCAAGCTCTTCTGAGACATAGAGATTAATGATGAAGCCCCTAAGCTCATGGAGCATACAGTCTACAATAAAACATAGGTTTGTGAGAAATACTTTCAAAGCAGAATGATAAACACTTTGTTACCTTCTCAACATTAATTCCTATGCTTCTATATTGGCCCTGCAGTTTGTATGTCTTTTATTTCCCCTTGCATGCCCCTACCCATTGCTTCTGGAATTCCCTCCACCCATGTTCCTATGCTCATAAGAAAGTTCTCCTCCTTCTCTAGATTCTGGCCATCAAGATCTTACTCATATTTCAGGTCACAATTTGTTTATAATAAGAGAAAATACCAAAATACTTTTTTTAAAATGTCTTCTCTTCCATGAAATTCTCCATAACATCTAGATAGTAATATTCTTAAGCAATCAGATCATAGAGTATTTTTGTCATCTAATACTTTCATCTAATACTAACAAATACTTTCTTCACTGTAAAACTTCCTCCACTGGTAGGGATTTTTGTTTTCTGCTTGATGATTGGTTCCTCGAGGGCCAGATATGTGACTTATTTATCTTTATGTTTTTCCAGTGCCTGAGTTGCCACTTAATAAGAATATGTTGAATGATTAAATAACTCAATATTGCTGGAAAAAAAACACAGCAGGTCTTATAACCATTAGAAATAATTGCCAAAGTACTCATTTCTGAGCCCAGCTGTTCCATTCATTAATTTCAAGGTTTGGCTAAAATCAGTTGTCTACACTGATACGTTCCTGATAATTCCTTTGGGTTTCATTAGAATAAGAACTTACTAAATGCTCTAATTATGCTCATGGATCATGTCCCCACAACATAAAATGTGTGATGAATATAAAGTTTTATCATTCATGTGGTTCCAAATGGGTTATTTTATAATATATGTATCTGATTGCTTACAAAGAGCAGCTCATGGAGGCTTTTTAAGTAGACGAGTCTATCATTATTTTAAAGCCAGTTTAACAATGCTTACTATTTCATACTTTACTACTCACTTAAGAAGAGAAAATGTATTATTTGGAGAGATATTAGCTGATGTGAATCTGAGGAGGAGTATCAGTTAATAGTATAGGCTAGGTCATGCTGCAATAACATACAGCCTCATGTATCAATGGATTAGCACAATAGTTTATTTCTTGCTAATGCTACATGTCTATCATGGTGGAGGGTACACTCAGGGATCCTTGGTGAAGGAGGCCCCTTTCTTCTTTATTTTTATTTTTTGAAATAGGGTCTCACTCTGTCACCTAGGCTGGAGTGCAGTGGCGCAATCTCATCTCACTGCAACCTCTGCCACCCAGGCATAAATGATTCTCATGCCTCAGCCTACCAAGTAGCTGAGATGACTACCAGTAGTGGCACCCGCCACTATGTCCAGCTAATTTTTGTATTTTTAGTAGAGACAGGGTTTCACCATGTTGCCCAGGCTGGTCTTGAACTCCTGAGCTCAAGTGATCTGTCCACCTCAGCCTCCCAAAGTGCTGGGATTACAGGCGTGAGCCAGCATGCCTGATCAGGAGGCTCCTTTCTATATGTGTTTCAACGATAGTTGTGGCAGGAGAAGGGAACATGAAAAATTTCTCACTGGTTCTTAAAGCTACCATTTGGAAATAACATACAGCACTTCTCCTCACATACCATTGGCCAAATAGGCTATATGTTGACACATAAATTCCACATTGGTGGAGAAGTGCAATATTACCATGAGCCTAAGTAGAGGAAAACAGGAACATTTGAGAAAACCTCTTTAAAAAATCCAGTTTATTTATGGAGTTTTTTTAAAAACATTTTCTTGTTTTACTTGCTACCATGCTGGTTAAACATAGAGATTATACTAGGATTTTATTGAGACAATATAATGATTATTATATGGTGGATTGCATAAGAAAATTAATCATAGAGGCACTGCTATTGACTTTCATTCTGGTCATGATTTAAAATACATGTTATTAAATTTCAGTTTGTATATGGAAATCTCTTCAAGATAAACAATAAAAAGCTTTTAAAAGTAACGTGTAACGTTACTAAGTATTATTTTATTAAGACATATTTAAAGATAGAAATGCCTCATTATGCCAAAGAAGCCAGATTGATGAAATATTAGATCGTTTTGTGCTACTTGCGGATAAAAGTCTTTGTGTCCCTTCATGGTGGAGACTTGGTTAATTACCCCAATAATCATTTTCCTTTTCTCCTCACCGACAAAACCCTAATTTTATTTAGATGTGTATGGAGAAAGGAGGTTTTCCAGTCTTTCCTCCAGCTAGGTTTTGTCATTTAATTAAAATCTGGCCAATGGGCTACAAACAGAAGTGCTGTGTGGTATTTCTGGCAAACTTCCC
The DNA here is from genome assembly GCF_000001405.40 of Homo sapiens. NCBI lineage: Eukaryota > Metazoa > Chordata > Mammalia > Primates > Hominidae > Homo > Homo sapiens. The sequence continues at coordinate 36,182,200 of NC_000023.11, read as the reverse complement.
TAAAAGAAAAAGGCACACTCTTATCCTTGTGCATCTTCCTTTCCATTGCCTAAGAAGTGGATTTGATTGTCGGAGCTCTGGATAGTTTAATCAATCCCTCAGAAACTGAATACAGATTTTCGTGCTACATGATCTAGAGTCTGGAGGTGTTATACAGGAAGCAGGCAGAATTCCAGATGAAGGAGCCATAGTAACTTCTTCTCTTTAGAACTGTCAGAAAAACAACCTTTTGCATGAAATTAAGACTACTTTATCTCAATTCAACATACGGACTTGGGCCTCAGCCATCATCTCATGCTAGTCCCTAAATGATAAACCAAGAGCTTGCATTAATTGACAAGCCCTCTTCCTTAAGAAACTTTGTGGCTTTTGCCTTTATAAGAATTGCCCTTGCCTTTGATTTAGGAGACAGTCTTCACAGGGGTACACATGAGTAAATCCGTAGTATTTTAAATGTATGGCTCTGAGTTATTCTTGCAGAGTTAATCTGCATGAGCCTGACTGCTCTATTTGGGATCAATGTTCTCTCTGACCCAACACTCAATGTCTCAGCATCTTTAAGTTTTTCTTGGCTGTTGTTTTGTTTTGTTTTTCATCACAGAAAGGCTTGAGAGAAGAACTAAGGAAGTATAGCATTATAAATAAAATGTATGACACTAATTAGAAAGAATGATCAATAATGCTTGGGACCATGGCAGGCACACTTCTTAAGCTATATTTCATGCTGAATTGGTAATTATTTGGGATGAGTACTTCCAAGGTTTCCTTTCCTGGAAAAATTAAATTGTAAATGCTTTTATAATTGTTTGCTCTATTTTCTTTTTGATTTGGGGAGCACTACCACAAAAAAGATAACCTTACTTGCAGCTTTAGATTCCATGGCTTCAACAATCCCAGAACTCTGGATCTAATCAAACCCATTCCAGAGTATTATATAAAGAAAAACATGATAAATTTGAGATGCAGAAATCATATTTTGTATTCTAAATCCTGAAAGTATACTCAATTTTTCTGTTCATTACACTGATTCAATTTTGAGTTATTTATACTCACAGATACCTACAGTGTTACTTCAAGATCTGACTCTAATTTACCATATACTATAAATTTTACACAATTAAAGTGAAGAAGTTATTTGAAGTCCATTCAGGCAAAATCTACAATCACAAAGCAGCCACTTAATCAAGAAGAATCAAGGGGCTGAAAAGATAAAAATCTAGGAGAACTGTTTACAGAAGTGTTTTTAGCAATACTTCAGTAAAACTTGAATTTCACATCTACAAAGAAATTAACATAAAATACCTGCAATCCTCTTATTCTTTTGGTATCTTTAATGCTACCTTATAGCTCAATACATCAATTCATATTTTATTGTTCACTAAAGCAAAATGTGAAAGAAGACTTCAAAAGCCCTAGGTAAGCATGACATTGGCGTTCAATAAAATAAATTCAGTGAGACAAAAATGGTTTCTTCTTTAATAACTTTTCTCACAGAATAACCATTGAAGGAATCAAACATCTCATAATAGATGCAACTCATATAATCTCCCAAAAGTGTTAAGTTAAATACAAGTCACTTTTGAAAAAATAAAAACTATACTCATTTTAATCTTAGCAAGATCTGTACAAGCACTTTAACGGTTTCTAATGACACTGGGAATTCCTGTCATCTAAATTGTCAAATTCTTGCCCCTTGATACATTTTTGGATCTAAAAGGATGATATTGATGCTGTCAAGCACTATACAAAGACAAACAAGGGTGTGAAATAAACTAAAAACATAGTAGTAATGGTCAACATAGGCATGCATTTCATTAATAGACATCTACATTATTTTCTCTCTACTTAACTTTCTTTAACCTTGATAACATTGTTTTTAATTGTACTTAACTTTATATAGTGATTCTATAGTGTAAAACAGAGGAGCAACATAAAACAATCAATTTTTTTAAAAATCCTGTTTCATTATTCAGCAAATTTCTTTATAAACTAAATATAGCCCTCATAAAGTAGGTAGAATAAATTTAAATCCTGTCAATCCTCATTATCCATGAATTCCATATTTGCAAATCCACCTACTTCCTAAAATGTATTTGCAACCCCAAAATCAATACTCATGGTGCGTTCATGGTGTTAAAGGACGTGCACAGAGTGGTGAAAAGTTCTCATCACCGGTTGCACCAATTCGCAGCTGAGGTCAAACAAGGTGACAAGGGGCCTTCTTATTTCAATCCTTATAAAAGTATAGAGATGACAAGAGGTAGAGACAATAGTGGGCAGTGCAGAGTAATGCAAGACACTCAGGCCTAGTGGACAGGGTTTGAATACCTTCTCTGATGCCTTTTATTGGGGCAGTGTCAGGAAAGCCATCTGATACTTCTGAACTTTGTTTTCATTTTGTAAAAAAAAAAAGAAAATAGAGTCTTCCATGACAGGTTATTTTTAGAGTTTACTATTGTAATCTGTATGATTATATGTGTTTCTTCTTGGAATAATGGTTCAGTATTCACAAACATAATATGTGCAGAAATTTTATAGAACATAACTACCACAAATAATGAAAATCTACTATATTTAATCAAGTTCAGATTTATTCAATTTTTATGCACATGAATCTAGTAACATATAAATATATATTTGGATATGAGTGTGAATTAGGTAAATTAAACATTTTGAATAAATGTAAACTATTGTGTAATTATATAACTAGTTTCCTTGACTACTTATTTCTCAAAACTTTTTCTCAGATACTTATGAGTACAAAATATAGACACTTACTCATGTTTCGGGTATTGCCTGGATTCAGTTAACTTCGTTGGCGAAGAGACAAATGTTGAGGATTCCACCAAAATGACACTGGAATAAATGAAGAAATAATTATTTTTAATTGATTGCAACAAAATTCCGATAACCACAAAACATTCTTCTTTTATTTTTTCCTATCATTCACAAAATATCCTTAGAATCAGAATAAACTACAGTTTAAAAAAATCCATGTGCTTTCATTCTGCAACTCAAAAGATATATGTTAGAAAGAAGGGAAAGATCGGGAATGGAAATATGTGAAACATAGTATCTTTTTATATGGAATGGCAGCACTGAATTCTCATAGCAAGGACATTTAGAAGATAAGTGACTGGTCAAATTATATTCCAGAAACAAACAGGAAATATCACACTGGTCTTACACATCACCAGAGCTGTACACGTTTCATAATTTCTAAACCTATTTCCATAAAAGAAAAATGTTTCTTTCAGGAGTGGACATGAGATGTGGGTAGCTAGTCAATCAGTATGTTAATAATTATGCCATCTTCTGAAATCACACAGCAATGGAAAGTCTTCCTATATGACAATGCTCATATATTCAAGAAATAGTTATAGAGACGCATTTGTTTCTTACTTGTAGGACATGAGGTTCTGGAAACACAAACATTTTTGCCTCAGGCTGCTCACATCATAGGGTAGGAATAGCATACAAATGATGCCTTAGCAGTACATTAAAGATGTCATGAAAATTCATGTCACGAATGGCTAATTCTACCTTCAGAAGTGAACAGATTGTGTCAAATATTGTTAAGAATAAAATATCCAAACTTGATTTATCAAAAGAAACCCCTTTTATTATGTAACAGTTATTGAGATCCCAAAATGCTAGCTTTTTGAGAAAAACTAGGCTAGTAATAAATTAATCAAAAGTTTTTGTCTTGATACACACACACACACCCACAAACACACACACAACTCTGCACATATAAACTAAAACACATTTTCCTACATCCTAAAATTTATTATTTTTCTTATTCTATTTTTTTCTTTAGTCAAATTTTTATTTTTTATTTTATTATTTTTAAAACTTTCAACTTTTATTTTAGATGCAGAGAGTTCATGTGCAGGGTTGGTACACAGGTATATTGCATGATGCTGAGGTTTGGGGTATAATTGATCTCATTACCCAGATAGTGAGCATAGTACCCAATAGGTAGTATTGCAGTCCTTGCCCCTCCATCCCTCTGCCCTCTAGTAGTTGCCAGTGTGTATTGTTCCCATCTTTATGTCCATGTGTACCCAATGTTTGGCTCCCACTTATAAATAAGGACATGTGGTAATTGGTTTTTAGTTTCTGCATCAATTCTCTTAGGATGATGGCCTCCAGCTGTTTTCATGTTTTTGCAAAGAACATGATCTCTTTCATTTTTATGGCTGCAGAGTATTCCATGGTGCATATGTACCACGTTTTCTTTATCCAATCCACCATTGATGGGCACCTAAGTTGATTCCATGTCTTTCTTACTGTGAATAGTGCTGCAATGAACATACGAGTGCATGTGTATTTCTGGTAGAATGATTTGCTTATCTTTGGGTATATACCCACTATTACGATTGCTGGATCAAATGGTAACTCTATTTTAAGTTCTTTGAGAAATCTCCAAACTGCTTTCCACAGTGGCTGAACTAATGCCAACATCAGATTCTGTACTATTGTTTTAAATTGATATTTCTGATGCTTTCATATAAGAATTATAAAGAATTATGTGAATATTAAATACTAAAAATTTTTAAACAGACAAAATTAACTATAGTAAAATGTAAACTGTGAACTTTGTGAAACATCTTTCAGACTACCAGATTCACCTATATTATTATTAAGTCACAATTAGGCAAATACATAAAGAAGAATTCCTCTCCAGAGAGTAATTTACATTTAAAGTCAGCTACTAAATTCTAAATTCTCATCTAAATTTCATAAAATTATGAGGCAGAAGAATATTCCAACATTTATTTATATTTCTATAAATCCAAGGTAACTAATTGGAGAAATTTATTTTGGTGATAATCTGTTCTGGCTAAAAAGTAGTCACAAGGATCATAAAATTTGACACACAAATAAAATGACTAGCCCAACGTAATAAATATCATATTTTTATACACTGTACATACACCATTTTGAGACAAAATAGCAATCTACATGTGTCTGAATCATCCCTGCTTAAATACAAAGAGCACGTTTTCCTAAAATATACAGAAATATTAACTGTAAAAATGCAATATGAACTACCTGTTAAAAGAAAAAAATAATCCTACTTGATAACTGCAGTTTCTAAATCAGCAGCTCTCACACTTCAATCTGCATAATAATTACTTAAAGTGTGTTCAAAATGCAGATTTCCAAAGTTCTACCTATATGAATTCTACGCAGGTCTGGAATGGGTTCCAGAAATCTTTATTTAAAACAAGTTCTTAAGATGCTTTTAATATAGTTTGCCCATTTATTTAATTTTTTTATTTTTATTTTTTTAGACGGAGTCTCACTCTGTCGCCCAGGCTGGAATGCAATGGCACAATCTCCGCTCACTGCAACCTCAGCCTCCAGGTTCAAGTGATTCTTCCACCTCAGCCTCCCAAGTAGCTGGGATTACAGGTGCATGCCACCATGCGCGGCTAATTTTTTTGAATTTTTGTAGAGACTGAGTTTCACCATGTTGGCCAGGCTGGTCTTGAACTCCTGACCTCATGATCCCTCCGCCTTGGCCTCCCAAAGTGCTGGGATTACAGGCATGAGCCACCAAGCCTGGCCTCACCCATTTATTAAACTTTGAAACCTGCTGACCTAGAACAACGTGATTCTAATATTAATGTACAAACAAATCTTCTGGAGATGTTATTAAATGCAGATTCTGACTCAATTGGATTGAAGTGGGCCTCAAATTTTGTCTTTCTAGCAAGCTCCCAGGTGATGCTGGTGCTACTGATCCAAGGATAACACTTTGAGAAGCAAGAGCCTAAGCTAAAACATAAAATATTTTTCAAATTACAAAACTAGACAACCAGTGAAAGAAAGGCAGAGAATTACAGCATTAGAACCACCATACAGTTGGAGGAGCCAAGATGGCCGAATAGGAACAGCTCCGGTCTACAGCTCCGAGCGTGAGTGACGCAGAAGATGGGTGATTTCTGCATTTCCATCTGAGGTACGGGGTTCATCTCACTAGGGAGTGCCAGACAGTGGGCACAGGTCAGTGGGTGCGCACACCATGCACGAGCCGAAGCAGGGTGAGGCATTGCCTCACTCGGGAAGCACAAGGGGTCAGGGAGTTCCCTTTCCTAGTCAAAGAAAGGGGTGACAGACGGCACCTGGAAAATCGGGTCACTCCCACCTGAATACTGCGCTTTTCCGATGGGCTTAAAAAAGGGCGCGCCAGGAGATTATATCCCGCACCTGGCTCGGAGGGTCCTACGCCCACGGAGTCTCGCTGATTGCTAGCACAGCAGTCTGAGATCAAACTGCAAGGCGGCAGCGAGGCTGGGGGAGGGGCGCCCGCCATTGCCCAGGCTTGCTTAGGTAAACAAAGCAGCCTGGAAGCTGGAACTGGGTGGAGCCCACCACAGCTCAAGGAGGCCTGCCTGCCTCTGTAGGCTCCACCTCTGGGGGCAGGGCACAGACAAACAAAAAGACAGCAGTAACCTCTGCAGACTTAAATGTCCCTGTCTGACAGCTTTGAAGAAAACAGTGGTTCTCCCAGCAAGCAGCTGGAGATCTGAGAATGGGCAGACTGCCTCCTTAAGTGGGTCCCTGACTGCTGACATCCGAGCAGCCTAACTGGGAGGCACCACCCCAGCAGGGGCAGACTGACACTTCACACGGCCGGGTACTCCAACAGACCTGCAGCTGAGGGTCCGGTCTGTTAGAAGGAAAACTAACAAACAGAAAGGACATCCACACCAAAAACCAATCTGTACATCACCATCATCAAAGACCAAAAGTAGATAAAACCACAAAGATGGGGAAAAAACAGAGCAGAAAAACTGGAAACTCTAAAAAGCAGAGCGCCTCTCCTCCTCCAAAGGAACGCAGTTCCTCAACAGCAACGGAACAAAGAGACGGAGAATGACCTTGATGAGCTGAGAGAAGAAGGCTTCAGACGATCAAATTGCTCTGAGCTATGGGAGGACATTCAAACCAAAGGCAAAGAAGTTGAAAGCTTTGAAAAAAATTTAGAAGAATGTATAACTAGAATAACCAATACAGAGAAGTGCTTAAAGGAGCTGATGGAGCTGAAAACCAAGGCTCAAGAACTACGTGAAGAATGCAGAAGCCTCAGGAGCCGATGCGATCAACTGGAAGAAAGGGTATCAGTGATGGAAGATGAAATGAATGAAATGAAGCGAGAAGGGAAGTTTAGAGAAAAAAGAATAAAAAGAAACGAGCAAAGCCTCCAAGAAATATGGGACTATGTGAAAAGACCAAATCTACGTCTGACTGGTGTACCTGAAAGTGACGGGGAGAATGGAACCAAGTTGGAAAACACTCTGCAGGATATTATCCAGGAGAACTTCCCCAATCTAGCAAGGCAGGCCAACATTCAGATTCAGGAAATACAGAGAATGCCACAAAGATACTGCTCGAGAAGAGCAACTCCAAGACACATAATTGTCAGATTCACCAAAGTTGAAATGAAGGAAAAAATGTTAAGGGCAGCCAGAGAGAAAGGTCGGGTTACCCTCAAAGGGAAGCCCATCAGACTAACAGCGGATCTCTCGGCAGAAACTCTACAAGCCAGAAGAGAGTGGGGGCCAATATTCAACATTCTTAAAGAAAAGAATTTTCAACCCAGAATTTCATATCCAGCCAAACTAAGCTTCATAAGTGAAGGAGAAATAAAATCCTTTACAGACAAGCAAATGCTGAGAGATTTTGTCACCACCAGGCCTGCCCTAAAAGAGCTCCTGAAGGAAGCACTCAACATGGAAAGGAACAACCGGTACCAGCTGCTGCAAAATCATGCCAAAATGTAAAGACCATCGAGACTAGGAAGAAACTGCATCAACTAACGAGCAAAATAACCAGCTAACATCATAATGACAGGATCAAATTCACACATAACAATATTAACCTTAAATGTAAATGGACTGTATGCTCCAATTAAAAGACACAGACTGGCAAATTGGATAAAGAGTCAAGACCCATCAGTGTGCTGTATTCAGGAAACCCATCTCACATGCAGAGACACACATAGGCTCAAAATAAAAGGATGGAGGAAGATCTACCAAGCCAATGGAAAACAAAAAAAGGCAGGGGTTGCAATCCTAGTCTCTGATAAAACAGACTTTAAACCAACAAAGATCAAAAGAGACAAAGAAGGCCATTACATAATGGTAAAGGGATCAATTCAACAAGAAGAGCTAACTATCCTAAATATATATGCACCCAATACAGGTGCACCCAGATTCATAAAGCAAGTCCTGAGTGACCTACAAAGAGAATTAGACTCCCACACATTAATAATGGGAGACTTTAACACCCCAGTGTGAACATTAAACAGATCAATGAGACAGAAAGTCAACAAGGATACCTAGGAATTGAGCTCAGCTCTGCACCAAGTGGACCTAATAGACATCTACAGAACTCTCCACCCTAAATCAACAGAATATACATTTTTTTCAGCACCACCCAACACCTATTCCAAAATTGACGACATACTTGGAAGTAAAGCTCTCCTCAGCAAATGTAAAAGAATAGAAATTATAACAAACTGTCTCCCAGACCACAGTGCAATCAAACTAGAACTCAGGATTAAGAATCTCACTCAAAACCGCTCAACTACATGGAAACTGAACAACCTGCTCCTGAATGACTACTGAGTACATAACAAAATGAAGGCAGAAATAAAGATGTTCTTTGAAACCGACGAGAACAAAGACACAACATACCAGAACCTCTGGGACACATTCAAAGCAGTGTGTAGAGGGAAATTTATAGCACTAAATGCCCACAAGAGAAAGCAGGAAAGATCTAAAATTGATACCCTAACATCACAATTAAAAGAACTAGAAAAGCAAGAGCAAACACATCCAAAAGCTAGCAGAAGGCAAGAAATAACTAAAATCAGAGCAGAACTGAAGGAAATAGAGACAAAAGAAACCCTTCAAAAAATTAACGAATCCAGGAGCTGGTTTTTTGAAAGGATCAACAAAATTGATAGACTGCTAGCAAGACTAATAAAGAAAAAAACAGAGAAGAATCAAATAGACACAATAAAAAATGATAAAGGGAATATCACCACTGATCCCACAGAAATACAAACTACCATCAGAGAATACTACAAACACCTCTACGCAAATAAACTAGAAAATCTAGAAGAAATGGATAAATTCCTCGACACATACACTCTCCCAAGACTAAACCAGGAAGAAGTTGAATCTCTGAATAGACCAATAACAGGAGCTGAAATTGTGGCAATAATCAATAGCTTACCAACAAAAAAGAGTCCAGGACCAGATGGATTCACAGCCGAATTCTACCAGAGGTACAAGGAGGAACTGGTACCATTCCTTCTGAAACTATTCCAATGAACAGAAAAAGAGGGAATCCTCCCTAACTCATTTTATGAGGCCAGCATCATCCTGATACCAAAGCCGGGCAGAGACACAACCAAAAAAGAGAATTTTAGACCAATATCCTTGATGAATATTGCTGCAAAATTCCTCAATAAAATACTGGCAAACCGAATCCAGCAGCACATCAAAAAGCTTATCCACCATGATCAAGTGGGCTTCATCCCTGGGATGCAAGGCTGGTTCAACATATGCAAATCAATAAATGTAATCCAGCATATAAACAGAACCAAAGACAAAAACCACATGATTATCTCAATAGATGCAGAAAAGGCCTTTGACAAAATTCAACAACCCCTCATGCTAAAAACTCTCAATAAATTAGGTATTGATGGGACGTATCTCAAAATAATAAGAGCTATCTATGACAAACCCACAGCCAATATCATACTGAATGGGCAAAAACTGGAAGCATTCCCTTTGAAAACTGGCACAAGACAGGGATGCCCTCTCTCACCTCTCCTATTCAACATAGTGTTGGAAGTTCTGGCCAGGGCAGTCAGGCAGGAGAAGGAAATAAAGGGTATTCAATTAGGAAAACAGGAAGTCAAATTGTCCCTGTTTGCAGATGACATGATTGTATATCTAGAAAACCCCATTGTCTCAGCCCAAAATCTCCTTAAGCTGATAAGCAACTTCAGCAAAGTCTCAGGATACAAAATCAATGTACAAAAATCACAAGCATTCTTATACACCAACGACAGACAAACAGAGAGCCAAATCATGAGTGAACTCCCATTCACAATTGCTTCAAAGAGAATAAAATACCTAGGAATTCAACTTACAAGGGATGTGAAGGACCTCTTCAAGGAGAACTACAAACCACTTCTCAAGGAAATAAAAGAGGATACAAACAAATGGAAGAACATTCCATGCTCATGGGTAGGAAGAATCAATATCGTGAAAATGGCCATACTGCCCAAGGTAATTTATAGATTCAATGCCATCCCCATCAAGCTACCAATGACTTTCTTCACAGAATTGGAAAAAACTACTTTAAAGTTCATAAGGAACCAAAAAATAGCCCGCATCGCCAAGTCAATCCTGAGCCAAAAGAACAAAGCTGGAGGCATCACACTACCTGACTTCAAACTATATTACAAGGCTACAGTAACCAAAACAGTATGGTACTGGTACCAAAACAGAGATATAGATCAATGGAACAGAACAGAGCCCTCAGAAATAACGCCACATATCTACAGCTATCTGATCTTTGACAAACCTGAGAAAAACAAGCAATGGGGAAAGGATTCCTTATTTAATAAATGGTGCTGGGAAAACTGGCTAGCCATATGTAGAAAGCTGAAACTGGATCCCTTCCTTACACCTTATACAAAAATTAATTCAAGATGGATTAAAGACTTAAACGTTAGACCTAAAACCATAACAACCCTAGAAGAAAACCTAGGCATTACCATTCAGGACACAAGCATGGGCAAGGACTTCATGTCTAAAACACCAAAAGCAATGGCAACAGAAGCCAAAATTGACAAATGGGATCTAATTAAACTCAAGAGCTTCTGCACAGCAAAAGAAACTACCATCAGAGTGAACAGGCAACCTACAAAATGGGAGAAAATTTTTGCAACCTACTCATCTGACAAAGGGCTAATATCCAGAATCTACAATGAACTCAAACAAATTTACAAGAAAAAAACAAACAACCCCATCAAAAAGTGGGCAAAGGACATGAACGGACACTTCTCAAAAGAAGACATTTATGCAGCCAAAAAACACATGAAAAAATGCTCACCATCACTGGCCATCAGAGAAATGCAAATCAAAACCACAATGAGATACCATTTCACACCAGGTAGAATGGCAATCATTAAAAAGTCAGGAAACAACAGGTGCCGGAGAGGATGTGGAGAAATAGGAACACTTTTACACTGTTGGTGGGACTGTAAACTAGTTCAACCATTGTGGAAGTCAGTGTGGCGATTCCTCAGGGATCTAGAACTAGAAATACCATTTGACCCAGCCATCCCGTTACTGGGTATATACCCAAAGGACTATAAATCATGCTGCTATAAAGACACATGCACACGTATGTTTATTGCGGCATTATTCACAATAGCAAAGACTTGGAACCAACCCAAATGTCCAACAATGATAGACTGGATTAAGAAAATGTGGCACATATACACCATGGAATACTATGCAGCCATAAAAAATGATGTGTTCATGTCCTTTGTAGGGACATGGATGAAATTGGAAATCATCATTCTCGGTAAACTATCACAAGAACAAAAAACCAAACACTGCATATTCTCGCTCATATGTGGGAATTGACAATGAGAACACATGGACACAGGAAGGGGAACATCACACTCTGGGGACTGTTGTGGGGTCGGGGGAGGAGGGAGGGATAGCATTGGGAGATATACCTAATGCTAGATGACGAGGTAGTGGGTGCAGCGCACCAGCATGGCACATGTATCATATGTAACTAACCTGCACATTGTGCACATGTACCCTAAAACTTAAAGTATAATAATAATGAATAAATAAATAAATAAAAAGAACCACCATACATTTATCCCTCTATATAAGCAACAAAAACCACAGGTAAGGGTTGTGAAAATTTACTTTTTCAGAACACTGGTAAATACAGAGAGGCATGCAACAATCTCAGGAGTAGTGTTTATCCAAGAAAAACTCCAAACTTTGGTAAGATCAGTGGAGTTTGTTGCATTGGAACTTGTGTGTTGTAACTCCCATCCTCCTTTTGACAGCTCTGCAGCAGCCTTGCATCCACGGAAGTTGTAAAACTCTGTAGCTTACAACCTGAAGAAGGGAAAGACTGAGATTGGACTTCTTCAAAAAAATCTTATTCCTGAGCACTGTTTTTATCTATCCTGTCTTGCTGCTTCCTGGAAAACTTCAAGCCTTAATTTGTAATGCATTTGTCTTTATTTGACCTGACTTAAGGGAGAACACCTACCACACCAGGATGTTTGCTGAAATCAATCCACAGCAATTATGTGTGAGATTGCTGCAGCAGTTGGGTCAAACAAAAGCCTGATGAAACATGAGAGGAACATATGGGGGAAAAGATGCCCATGTGTTGGATTAAACTAACTTGCCTGATCCCCAAAATATGTCAAAGATCTTTAATGCTGCATATGAGATACAATGATGTGTCACCAAATAGACAACATCAATTAAATAGATAGAAATGATACAAAAGAACCAATTAGAAATTCTAGAATTGAAAAATAACATCCCTGAAACTAAAAATTACTAGAGGGGCTCAACAGCAGGTTTGGTATGGCAAAAGAAAAAAAGAAGCAGTGCATTTAAAAATACGTCAATTGATATTATTTCTTTTGAGGAACAGGGAGAAAAATAATAAAGAAAAACTAACAGAGCTCCAGATGCCTGTGGGACACCAACATAAGTCTAATGAGAATTTCCAAAAGACAAGAGAGAGAAAGAGGTAAAAAAAAAAAACATTTTAAAAATAAAGAATGAATACTTCTAAAATTTGATGAAAAACATTAATTTCCCCATCCAAGAAGCACAAAGAACACTTTGTAGGATAAACTTAAGGCAATCCACATATAGATAATAATAATCAAACAGTGGAAAGGCTAAGATATAGACAATCTTGTAAGTAGCAATACAAAATTGACTCAGTGTCTACAGTGGCTCCTTAATATGATTAACAGCTGACTTTCCATCTGAAATGCTGGAAGATAGAAGACAATAGGATTATGTATTCAGTACACTGCAAGAAATCGAGTTGATGAAGTACAATGTATACAGAAAAAACTCTCCTTCAAAAAAATTTTTAAAAAAAGAGAAGAAAACAAAAAAACTGTCCTTCAAAAATGAAGGAGAAAAGATATTCTAAAGTAAAGAATAACTAAAACAATTCATTACTAGCAGAACTGTGGCACAAGAAATATTTCAGCTGAGATAAAAGGACACAAGAAATTAATCAAAACCACAAGAGGTAATAAAAGGCATGAAGAAAGGTGACTACACTGGTAAATATATATTTAAAAACAAGCTGTAAATTTTCATTTTCTTTGCAACTCTTTATATTTGCCTTTCTCATTTAAAATAAGCAGGAGGGCTGGGTGCGGTGGCTCATGCCTGTAATCCCAGCTCTCAGGGAGGCAGAGGCGGCAGGATAGCTTGAGCCCAGGAGTTCGAGACCTGCCTGGGCAATATAGCGAGACCCTGTTCTCCACAAAAGGGAAGAAAAAGAAAAAGACAAAAAAAAATAAGCGTAAAATAAGCAGGAGTAGGACAATAAATATAAAACTGCTTTATGGGCTTATAATGCATTAAGATGAAATTGGTATAATAACACTAGGGAAAGGCTAGGAAAAAGAGATACATTGCAGATACAAAGTTTCTGAGTTATATTGAAATTCAGTTGGTATTCATCTGAGTTAGATTGTTTTACATTAGACGCTGATTGTAATCCTCAGGGTAACTATTAAGAAAACAATTAGAAAATCATGAAGTAAAAGGAACTAAAAGGAATTAAAATGTTATACAAAATAACTATTAAAAAACTCAGGCAGTAACAGAGAAATAGATGAACAAAGACATTAGTCATATATAAAGGAAATATAAAAGTGACATATAAAATCTACTAGATTACAGATTGACTTAAATTTAACAGACTAAACACTTCAATCAAACAGGAAAGATTGACAAGATGGGTAAAAGAAAAGAGACAAACTTTGGGTTCAAAAACACAAACCAATTGGGATTAAAAAGATTTAAAAAGGAATACCATGAAAATAGTAATAAAAAAGGAGCTGGAGTGGCTATCTTAATAACAGATAAAATAATATTTAAGACCAACATTAAGCCTGACACCATGAGAGATCCTTGGACTCTCACCCCAAGCAAATGAGTAAAAACAAAACAAACAAACAAGGAAACCCAAAAAAACACTTTGAAATTCTCTGGAGATTGTTCTAAGGGCATACAGGAAATTAAGAAAAATCTTTAAACAAAATAAACTAAAATATAATAAGAAAACCAGTAGTCTGTGATATTTGAACCAAGAACTCTATCTCCTTCTTCCTTTCAAGCTCAACAAAAAAGAAACTTAGTTTCAGACTGTTTTTGCCAAGAACATAGGGCTCTTCCTTCCCCTGGCTCCCATTTGGAGGCCTATGTTTCTGGGAGGCATGGGATACCAACATCTTCACCTCAGTACATGTTGCTAAGGCTAGGTTCTGGGCAAGCGCAGTTGAGAGACCGTGAGAAGCTCTTTTCTTCTACCCAGCACCCACTCACGGACTGAAGCTCTCACGAGTGTGGCACTGCTGAAAATACTGAAACCCCAACTGCCTTTGCCCAGTTCGTAAGGTGGTAGTTCCACACTGGGAGAAGCAAGTCAAAAAATCCTGAGGCTATTTTGCCCCCTTGCCCACCTAGCACTCAGCTCCTAAAATGGAGGGTTTGCTGAAGAAAAAGTGCACCATTGTCCCCACCCCTAGCTCTAGAGTCATGGATCAGATATTTTCCCTGAGGAGAGAAGCGGGCTTTAAAATGAATAGCTCCTAATCGCTTCCCAAAGTACTGATTTCATTTTCAATAATGTGTGGAGAAATTCAAGCGAAAGTTGAATTTCTCAGAAATAGTGCCAGTTATGGTGAAATACAATTGGATGGAGATTGGTAGATCAACAAAGATGCAAGCTAAACTACAGGCCTGTTAGTTTGCTGGAGAGAACTGGTGAAGGAGACTGCTAGAAGTCCTCCTGGAGTCAGAAAAAATCTTAAACAATGATTTATAGAACTGTTTTTTCAAAGAGGTCTGAAGTTGACTGAATTAGCTTGAAGAGTAACTTATCCACCCCCACCCCACGCAGGGAATTTAACAGAAGGGTGTGGTCAGGAAAACACACAGGGAGCCCTGCCAAAACCACTGTAATCCCAGGGTAATTGTGGGCATGCCAAAGACGGTGGCCTTTGACAAGCAACATCAGAGCCTTAACACTATGTGTGTGTAGGTTTGAGCAGGGGGAGATAGACATCACCAAAATAACCCAGCCAGTCAGTAAAAAAATTAGAAGTGCAAAGAACATTAGCAAGCCTGGGGCAGATAGAACACATATCTAGAATTGGCATAATATATTGTCTACAATGTCTACTGTATTTCATAAACATGAAACACACACACACAAAAAGAAGAAAAGTAACAGACAGTAGAAACTGCCTGTTAGAGTAACCCAGGTATCAGATTGAACAGAAATCAAATTTAAAATAGCCATTATAAATATCTTCAAAGAAATAAAGGAAACTATAATTAAAGAAGTAAAGGAAAGCATGATGACAATGTGGCATCAAATAGAGAATATCAACAAAGAAATTGAAATTATAAAAAAAAGAAACAAATGGAAATTTTGGAGATGGAAGCTACAATAAGAGAGATAAAAATTCACTCAAGGGCTTAATAGTAGATTTGAATTGGGGGAAGAAAGAACTAACAAACTTGAAGATTGGTAGAGATTACACATTCTGAAGAACAGAGAAAAAAATGAAGAAAAGTAAATAGAATCTGACGTATGTATGGTAGGCACACCATTAAGAACAAAATGTGGGCAATGAAATTACCTGAATAAAAAAAGGAGAGAGGAAAAAGAAGAGAAAAAATGTTCAAAAAATAAAGTGGGTGAGATGAAAGCTGGATCAGGTCACAGAAATTATTCTATATGGTAGCAACAATCCATGCGAACAAATGAAGAGAAATGGAAATAATAAGTAGGAAGGTTAAAATATAAAAAACTATAGATATATACTTGCTGTTTGTTATGGGCTGAAGTTTGTCCCCTCCAACTTCATATGTTGAAGCCCTAACCCCGGTATCTCCAAATGTGACTGTATTTGGAGAAAGAGCCTTTAAGTAGATAATTAAGTTAAGGCCCTCAGGGTGGGTCCTAATCCAATCTGAATTATGTCCTTATAAGAAGAAGGAAATTTGAAAACACAAAGAGATATCAGGGATATACATTCACAGAAAAAAGACAAAATGAGGAGACAACTATCTGTAGGCCAAGGAGAAAAGTTTCAGAATAAAGAAAAAATGACGGTGTTTTAATCTTGGACTTCTAACTGCCAGAACTCTAAGAACATAAATTTCTGTAGTTTATTCCATCTGATCTGTGGTGTTTTGTTATGGAAACCCTAGTAAACCAATACACTTTCTCCCAGCTTTCTCAAAGTCATACAAATTATATAAAGTAATAATTATAGCAATATATTGTTGGGTATGTAATATTGATGTAATATGTATGACAATACCACCAGGAAAAGAATGGAAAGGGAATAGAGCTATATAAGAGTAACACGTTGTGAATCTTACTGGAATTAAGTTAGTATATATCTGAAGTTGATTATGATAAGTAAAAATGTCTATGGTAAACTCTGGTGCAATCATTAAGAAAACAAATTCAAAAATATTTTGAAAAAGCCTTTAAAAATTAAAATCCTGCATTGAAAAATATTCACTATTATTAAAAAAAGAAGTCATGGACTAATAGAGAAACAAACAAAAAGACATACAATATAGCAAACTAAATGGAAATTGGCAAAAGTAAAATCAACTGTGTCAATAATAACAAATTTGTGAATTGATTAAATAATGCAATCTAAAGCAGTGAGTAATATACACATACAATAGAAAATTATTCTGACTAAAAAAAGAGGAAGTCTTGCATCTGTAACAACGTGGATGAACCTGGAGGACATTATGCTAAGTGAAATAAGTCAGTCACAGAATTATAAATAAGCATAATTCCATTGATATGAAGTGTTTACAGTAGTCAAACTCATAGAAGCGAAGAAGGCCATCATGACTGACAGTAGCTGTGGGTTTACGGAAATGGAGAGTTGTTGTTCAATGGGTATAAAGTTTCAATTATACTTTTAGATGAGTAAGTTATAGACATCCACTATAAAATATAGTGCCAATAGTTAACAATATCATGCACTTCAAAATGTAAGAGGGTAGATATCATGCTAAGTGTTTTTACCAAAAAACAAACAAACAAACAAACCAGAAAACCAAAGGGACACAAGAGAACTTTGGGAGGTGTTGGAAATTTCTGTTCCTTTGATTATGGTAATGATATCATGGGTGTTTGCACATGTCTAAACTCATCAAAATGTACACAGTAAATACCTGCAGTTCTTTCATATAAATGTTATCTTAATGAAGCTATTAAAACAAAACAAAACCCCCAAATCTGACCATATGCTATATAAAGGAGACATACTTTAGATTGAAAGATAAAAAATAGATTGAAAGTAAAAGGATGAAAAATTATATATCATACACACAACCACAAGAATGTTGAAGTAGCTATACTAATACAAGACATGATAGAATTTGAAACAAAAATTGTAACTATAGATAGAGACATTTTATATGAACAATCAGGAAGATAAAATTACTATAAATATATATTCACTGAATTTTAGAGCACCAAAAGACAGAAAGTAAAACTGACATAAGTGAAGGGAGAAATGAACAGATCAACATTAATAGTTAGATAGTTAAATACTGCCCTTTTAATTATGAATAGAAAAATTTAGGCAGAAAATCTACAAGAAAATATGTCTTATACAATATTATAAACCAACTAAAATTAAGAGGTACCTATAGAACACTTTACTCAACAACAGCAAAATATAGATTCTTCTCATGAGCATTCTGCAGTATGGACCTTATGATACGCCATAAAACAAATCTTCATAAATTTAAAATGATTTAAATAATACAAAGTATGCTCTCTAACTTGAATGGAATAAAATTAGTGACAGAAAAGTTGAAAATTAACAAACATGGGGAAATTAAACAACATACTCCGAAATAACTGGTGGGTTAGCAAGAAATAAAAAAGAAATTAAAAATAATTTAAGATTACTGGGCATGGTGGCTCATGCCTGTAATTCCAGCACTTTGGGAGGCCAAGGTGGGTGGATCACCTGAGGTCAAGAGTTCGAGACCAGCCTGGCCAATATGGTGACACCTCATCTCTACTACAAATACAAAAATTTGCTGGGTGTGGTGGTAGGCGCCTGTAATCCCAGCTACTCAGGAGGCTGAGGCAAGAGAATCACTTGAAACCGGGAGGCAGACGTTGCAGTGAGCCGAGATCACGCCATTGCACTTCAGCCTGGGGGCAAGAACATAACTCTGTCTCAAAAGTAATAATAATAATTTAAGATTAATGAAGATAAAAATAACACATTCCAAAACATATGAGATGAAGCTCAAGCAGTCCTTAGAGAGAAATATGTAGATAAAAATGCCTATATGAAAAAAAATCTCATAATAATAATCTAAATTTTCACCTTAAGAAGTGAGAAAAAAAAGAGACATCTAAACACAAAGCAAATAGAAGGAAATAATTAATATCCAAAAAAGTTAGCACAGAAATAAAATAGAGGATAGTAAAACAATAGAGAACATCAAGGAAAGCAGAAGGAATTTTTTTAAAAGATCAGTGAAATGACAAATTATTACCTAGACTGATCAAGAATATAAACGAATTAAATTACTAAAATAAGGGATAGAAGGAGGAACATCACTATTTGCCTTTCAGAAATTAAAAAAGGATTATAAGGGAATACTCTGAAAGCCTCTGTGCCAACAAATTAGATAACTTAGAAGAAATGCAGAAATTTCTGGAATAAAATAAACTAGCAAAACCGATTTGAGAAGAAACAGAAAATCTGAACAGGCTCATAACAAAGAGATGGAATTAGTAATTATATAAACTTCCACAAAGCAAAGCTCAGAACCAGATGGCTTCACCTGTGAATTATATCAAACATTCAAATAACTAATACCAATCCTTCACAAAGTATTCCAAACAATAGAATAGAAGGTAACATTTCAGAAATAATTCTATAAGGTTAATATTAATCATACAAAAACAGACAAATCACTGAAAAAGGCAATTACACTATTAAATATTATAATTGTACAGGCAAAATCCTCAATAAAATACTGTACTAGCAAACTAAATCTTATCAAATATAAAATTAAAAAACAGCATTATAGAGCATGAAATAGTGGTGTTCTGCAAAAGAAGAATTTGAGAATCACCAGTCTGGGAGCAAGGCATGGGAATTAACAACCTGGTCAGCTAATCCTATCTCTGTTAAATATAGACTGGATTGCCTTATTTGTTCAAAGTAATGTGAAATTTTGATAAAACATGATCAATTCTTGTCACTTATGCATACAATATTGGGGAATATATGGGGATATTTTTATTTTATTTTAAAGTATGTTTAATATGAGACTGCTAATAATAACCAAGTCAATCATTTATTAAGTGTAATATTAAAAACTGGGTCTCTTGTTATATTGGTTATAACTTAAAAATAGTTTCTATATTAATTAATTGGTCAAATTCCTTCTTATTCAATCTATTTTATTATGTTAAAATTTCAAACATAATATATGACTCTTACACAATATTGGTTTTGCACATTTTGAAATTGGTTTTATATTTTTGAGTTTATTTGTCCATTGCCTAAGTTTGAGGGACATATTCAAAGGAAGGATATAGTTAAAATCACTTGATTAACAATTTTGCTTCCTATCAAACCACAAACCCCTTATAAGCATTAACCATTTTAATTAAATCTGAGATACAACATAAAGACATGTTAAAATATTACTGTTATTTGAGAAATATGTATCTGTAATATTCTCCCAATTTCTGGCATATCCAGATTTTCTTTCTGCTTTAACACTAGAATGTAAGACTAAATTTGTTTGATCCTGTTTTTCTCTGAGGAACTGCAGTCAGTCATTTGGTCTACTTAAGGGCATACTTTAATACTGTGTTAACACACCATATATTCTAAAATTTTGTGTTTCTTATACTCCAATGTATCACTTTAATAAAATTGCACTAAATCATATTCTCTCTTACATGCACCTAGGAACCAGGTATTTACCAATCACTGTTTCAAAACAATATTTTTTAAAACAAAATGACCAAAATTATTAGAGAAAGATAAGAAATTACCAAAATCCTTTACATACAGTGATTAAAAGAACTGGAAATTATCAAATAGTAAAATAATAAGCATATTATAACTTCCAGTTTCAATATAAGTATCATAAGAATCTGATAGCTGAAGCTGGAAAAAACAGAGTTCCTAGTTTAATCAGCACAGAAGGTATCACCTTCCGTCGTCTTCCTCAACGTGGTGTACATTTCCAGGAAGTTACTTTTCTATTGTGTCATTAAATAATACTTGAAAATTTTATTGTCTTTTTATCACAAATATGTATTTTTGTTATTATTATTAAATCTTAAGATGAACACATGCACATTGATTGTGCAGTATAAATTAGTTATGATGCTCTAAGTAAAAATGTTTTTTTCTGCTTAAATTGATATTTCAATTTTGGACATGTACAGAATAAAATTAGAAGTAAAAAATCTATTAATTATACATATTTTTTAATAATTGAAAGAACACTGAATTTCAACAAACAACTTGCAGACAAAACTCATAAATTTAGTATGATCATTTCAGGAAAACTGATTTACTTTAATTAGCTGTTTAATTTTTTCTGATGGTGCTTAGAAGTTTATAGGAATTTGAACACATATAATTTCTGCTCGAAATGGTTCATGTTGAAGAGATGAAGAAAATTACGGCCAGGCGCGGTGGTTCATGCCTGTAATCCCAGAACTTTGGGAGACCAAGGCGGGTGGCTCACGAGGTCAAGAGATCGAGATCATCCTGGCCAACATGGTGAAACCCCATCTCTACTAAAAATACAAAAATTAGCTGGGTGTGGTGGGGCACCCCTGTAGTCCCAGCTACTTGGGAGGCTGAGGCAGGAGAATCGCTTGACCTGGAAGGTGGAGGCTGCAGTGAGCCAAGATGGTGCTACTGTACTCCAGCCTGACCACAGAGCGAGACTGTCTCAAAAAAAAAAAAAAAAAAAGAAAGAAAGAAAATCACATATGTCTCTTCAGAGTGGAGATAGAGCTAATTGCAATGAATTTACACCAAAACAATAACTTACCTGAAGTCCCCAGCCGTATGGAAGGGGTTTTTCACATTTACAGTGACTTCCTGAAATTGATAACATGGGCTTTCGCATTTTATAATGTCCTAAAGTAAAAAAATAAAGTCTTACCACATGATAATAACAAAAAATGAACTTTCTGAATTATAAAATATAATCTTAAAAATCTATAAACCGTCCATTTAATATTACACTGACAGTACTTCCCACTATCAAAAGAAATTCCATGGAGAAAAACTTTCTAGGTATTCTATAATTTCAGAAAGATTATTTTACTGTTTTATTTTATTTTGTTTTTATTATCTAATCTGCTTTCCAGTGACTTAAGACCATATAGGGGAAGATGGGGAAGTAAACAGTTGCATGTCTACCCCCAGAACCACCAATGACAGGCTAAGCCCAGCCATATCTCTTAGCCACATGTGACAAAACAATGTCTTGTTTCAGATAATTTGTGTGAGAGGGTTGGGAAAAGTACATGTTCATTATTCAGGAGGAAATAAGATTACACATAGGAAGTGACAAATGCCCACTTCCTGTTCTGAGCATCATTGTCTCAAAAGACAGTCTGTCCATATGAGCATCTCAGTGCCTTCCTCAACAACAGGCCATCACTCAACCATCCTACAGTCATTTTCTCTGCTTACCACTCTTGCCCTGCACACCTAAATTTCTTTATAATCCATTTGGAAATCTGGCAATCTAATGAATTTACTTATTCTGTACCATACATCCATTGTAGAAATTAATATTTAGAAGAGATAATGGCTACAAAAAGTCAATCACAATAATGTCACAACCATTTTATAAAGATTTAAAAATCTCTCTTCCCCACCCTTTGAAAAAGAAATACTTAGAACTCTGTCTGGAACATCGTCACCTCTCAATAAATGCCAGCATTAGTCTTATCTTTATAATAGATTTGATCTACAGGACACACAAGATAAACTGATGAAAGTTCCTGCCAGAGAACAGGAAAGTCCTTTTTTACTGCATAAACTATCAACCCTTAGTCCAGCAAAAACACAGACACAGGCCCAGAACTGCTTTAACTTAAATCACAAGTATCCATGGCACAGGGATGACTCAAGAAACAGCTGCCTAGAGATAAAATGTATAACAATAACATGCTTTTGATACTTCATGGTCTGATAAGAGAAGCAAAGACATCGTAGGTAAAATTTACTTACAATGGCTTTAAAATCGAGGACTTTGCCTTTAAGAGCAAAAGTCATTGTAATTCCTCTTACTGCATTCTTGGGTTTTGAAATTAATAGTAGTGAAGCTTCAGCAGGACGAATAAAGCGACTGGTGAATTTCAGAGTGACATTAATTTCATTTCTATTTAGTAAAAGATAAAAGAGAAAACGTTTTAACAAAAAAGACAACTTACAAGCATTTGTTTAATGTAGACCATGTGTCTAATGCCTACATCCCCCTGCAAGGTACTCACTTCAGCTGCAGTTATCAAGAAGCCTACAATCTAGTTATTGTCATCGGTTAAGCTATCGTAATATATTTTGTAAAATCTGAAGTTAACTTTCAAATATATAATCTCTCAAATAAAGGATTTTCTAACAGCAAGCCACAGGAAACCATGTATGAATTGTTTTGAGGGAAATTCATAGGACATTCTGTGCTACTGTTTAGGCAAATACTTTGTCATGTCACTGGTCTCTGGTAACATGTGGAAACATTAAGAAAGTAAAAATTCAAAAAATGCATAAAATCATTAGTGAAAATAACATTCAAAACTCATAACCAAATAATGGCAGATAATAATAACATTTAATTAATTACAAAAAGGAATAAGGAAAATATTTTCATCCTCCTTAATCTTCAATTTGGCAGTCTAAGACATAGTATAATGGTGAAGAGGCTATGGATTTGGAGATTCCATTCACCAGTCTGTAGGAAAATGACCGCACCATGGTACCCCAGCAACCTTGCATGAGTCCACATAGGCCACATATGCACTGTAAAAATGCAGCTGACAAAAGTCTTGGCAGAAACCCCATGATCCTCCTGCAATATAAGAGCATGGAGGCTCACGAATTGCTGCTCTAGGAACATTTCTCACTTGCCTCCCTAATCTCCCCTGAGAGACTGTCACCAGACAGTTTATCATTGCTTCCTGGATTGTGATGAGGTATGAGGCTTGCTTCCTTACTCCTTTTAGGATAGAGTTACAGGCCATGAAGCTTAATGACAGCACAAATTTAGCTCCTCAGCAAGAGGGTGTCTTACCATCCATGAGGCAGTGATCTGACCCCTTTTATTTTGATATTGCCCTGTACAAGGGACATGTGAATCTAGTACCTTTGATTACTCATGCTTTCACTGTTTAAATAAGTTATACACTCTAAATTAAACAATGGACTCTCGATTTTGTTACTGGATCAATCTTTCAATCTTGCCTTGCCTTGATACCGCTGTAGGTGATAAAACTTGGGGAAATTTTATCTTTGCTTTTCCTCTGGTTTTTAGCATGGTTACCATTATACATCCCATAACAGTTATTCTTTTGTACCAACTACTACCTATTGTCTTCGCTTAGAATGCACATATTTAAGAATGGAGATGGGAATAGATTCCCTTGGTGTCAAACCTTGACCTAATTGCGCCAGAACTTTTGTGCAGTTGCTGTTGAATGGGTGAGACTAGGAAGAAACGAGGAGTGAGATAAATGAGGGGTTTTCAAAAGCAATAGAAATGTTCTCAAAATAGTTTTGTAGGGAAAATTACAGCTCACAACTTACAGGAGTGGGGGTGATTTTAATTTAGATATGTGTCCTCAACAATTTCAATTGTGTGCAAAAGGACTCTTATGAAAACTCATGGGCATGAATTTAACTGAGAACAAAGAACATTTGACCTTGAGGTCTTTTTCCAGGTATATAGGCTCAAATTATTTATTAAGATAACAGTGAGTGATTTAGACTATTTCCAGTTATTCTAAAGTACATCACTATATAAGATCATTTATCCATTAATTCTTTCATGCAATTGATATTTTTAGATAATTTATAGTGTTCCAGGCACTCTTTTAGGTTTCTGAGATACAGTAATTAGAAAAAAAAAACACCACTATTCCTGCTCTCCTGGATAGTACAAACGGTAGGACATGGCCAACATTCTACCAACACAAAATAAATGTGAAAATTACAAATTATATATGTGCTGTGAGAGCATACAATGGGGAGTGTGACATAGTCTGAAAGGTCAGAGAAAGTGATATATTAGGTGGAATGTGAAGTATCAGAATGAGTTAACTAGATTGAACAGGGGATGAAAGAAGGCATCCAAGGCCTCTGGTATGGGGAATTAAAATGTGTTTGAATAACTAATCAAAGGCCAGTAATGCTAAATCTTAGCAAGCAATAGGGGTAATGATGCAAAATATAGCCAAGAGCAAGCTGCGAAATCATAGTGACTGTCACAAAAGTGAAAGTGTACTTTGGACCATGTTAAGCATATTCAATCTATATCCAAATGTTGATGGGAAGCTGAAATATTTTAAGCACCTTTTTAAATTTCTGTTAAAGGTTTAAATTTCTGTTAAAAATTAGCTGTCATTCTAATATAGAGGATAGATTTCAGACAAGATTTTTAGGAGTCTATTGTGGCAGTCTAGTATAAAGATGATGTTACATTAAATCGGGGTGGAACAGGTGAAGAAGGGAAAAAGAAACAAGGTTTATGACACGATTGGTAAAATCGATAGGATCTGGTAACGGATTGGATCTCGATGGAAGCTGATGAAAAGAGAAGCATTCAAGAATGACCACCATCTAAAGAACATGAATTTAATGAAAGATTTTATGAACCTATACTTAAGTCTTATGGAATACATTTCAAAATAGAGTATCCTTTTTATGAGATAAATAGCTGGTTCCATGAACAGCCTTCTCTTAAGTATAGGTAATTATTTTTTAAATTTTGTAGTTATATTGAAGCATGTAAATGACCAGCATTCTTTTCTGAATTTGTTAGAAACTTCAGAATCAAATGTGTAGTCTACTTAGAGTAAGTTTCCTAAGTCTCCAGGCATTTCTATCATAACTATAGGTTTCATTTTAATTATTTTACCTTTTATTTTTTTTGCTCCAATTGCCTTTCCCTGATTTTTTTTTAAAAAAAACCTCCTTGATATTATATATACATTGTAAGCTACTTCAATTTAGCCTTTGGAATAGATGGAGAATAAATATACAACACATCAATGTCAGTGCACATATGGCTCAATGAAAATAATGAGAAAAAAAGAATGGTTTGCTAAATTTATACTTTCACTTTTATGACAGTCACTCTATGGTTATAGCTAAATGTAGTCATAAAGTTAGATGCAGAAGTAAATATGTTTGTTTATATGCTGGTGTAGCTGTTTAACATTTTCTATATAAGTAATATGTCTGAGAATTTAAATCCATAGCTGGCAGAAAGAGACATTATTAACTGTGATCTAGACAGTATCTAACAAAGAATGTGGCACACATAAATATATAATTATATAATATCTTATAATGATAAAATTACTCATTTTTTTGTTTAGGAAAACAAAATGTTTTCTGAGTCGTATTTGTAAAAACCAAATCCTATGAAATTATTTAGCCTAACTAAAGAGAGCCACCTAAAATAACAGCTACCTAAAATAATTTTATTTCAAGCCTACAAAATAAAATGCATTTAGATAAGTGAGTAGTTGTTTTTTATATGTGTTCAGAATTAAGCATTACTTCTTCTGGGAACCCTTCCTTGGTTTCCTCAAGAGTAGGCAGGCACTTCTTTTTCAGTTTTCATCTAGTTCTATACACACATAATAAATAAAATAATTATTGATTTATATCTTCGGTATGTATTTGCTTGCCTGGCATTGGGATAGATTGTAAGCATTTGCGAGTAGTGTTGATATATTTTAATTTGTGAGTCACCAGTACTCCAAATTGAGGCGGTCATCCTTATTAATTGCTTCCTATAAGTTCCATTATGGTACAAGGTGTTTTGCCTACATAATCATATTTATTACTGACAGCACTGTGGGTACATAGCCTTATCCACATTTTTCAAATAAGGAAACTGAGGCTGGATCATAGAGCCTTTACATGTCAAGACTGAAACATAACATTTAATTGTTAAATGATATAAGAGGAGTTCTAAACCACAATGGCATCTGAAACCCAGATTCATCATTTCTTTTCCTAAGAAAAATCTCATGAAAATTATAATAAAGAGATTTTCAAAACACAGCTGGTTAGAGGAAACCACCACCACATAAAGGGCAAGATGGGGTTCAGACAACCCTACTCCCTTCAATGCCATTATAAAATGTCAGACAATTGGGCATAAAAGCAGAATGGTTTTTCACCCTAATGTGAAGCCTACCAATTGACATACCTGTGCACATACAGTACAGAAATTTACTTTTCTATTGCCATGTTATTACATATGAATGAATAACCATGTGTCAGGAGGCATTTGAGCGAATCTTTTAACAGGGAACACTAAGATCAAGGTAAATAAAGCAACTGACTTTAGAGAAAATTCAAGGATAGATGAGAACATAAAAGTCAGAGACAATTATGAAGATATGGTACCTCAATTTAAGAACAGGATGTCATGAGATAGAAATAGTCAGAGAACAAGTGCTCTTAGCAATTTATATATATATAAATTCATACATATATGAACCAGAACTCAGACCCTTGCCAGACACTGAATCTGCAAGCACCTGGATCCCTTGGACTTCCCAGACTCTAGAACTGTGAGAAATAAATTTCTGTTGTCTGTAAGCTACCTATTTTATGGTTTATTGTTATAGCAGCCTGAATGGACTAAGATGGCAAATTAGTATTGAGAAGTGGGTGGGGGTGCTGCTGTAACAAATACCTAAAATGTCAAAGTGGCTTTGGAACTGGGTAATAGGTAGGGGCTGGAAGAATTGAGGTGCATGCTGAAAAAAAAAAAAGCCAACATTACTATATAAAGGCCATAAAGGGTGATTATGGTGCAGGCTCAAAATAACACAGCTGTAGAGAAAGCTTGAACATTCTTAGAAATTACCTAAAAGGGTGATTCTGGTAAAGCCTCAAAAGAATAAAGCTGTAGAGAAAGCTTGAACATTCTTAGAAATTACCTAAAAGGGTGATTCTGGAAAAGGCTCAAAAGAATAAAGCTGTAGAGAAAGCTTGAACATTCTCAGAAATTACCTAAAAGGGTGATTCTGGTGAAGGCTCAAAAGAATAAAGCTGTAGAGAAAGGTTTAACATTCTTAGAAATTACCTAAAAGTTCGTGAAAAGAATACTGGTAGAAGTATGGACAGTAAAGGCCATCCTGATGAGGTCTCAGACAGAAATAAGGAGCAAGTTACTAGACAACAGAGGAAGAAAACCCGTGTTAAAAAGTGACAAAGAACTTGGCTAAATGGTGTTTGTGTCCTGGTGTTTCCTGGAAGGTAGAACTTGTGAGTGATTAAATAGAATGTCTGACTAAAGAATTTTCCAAGAAAGTGTTAAAGGTGTGGATTGGCTTCTATTGAATGCA
Source organism: Homo sapiens (assembly GCF_000001405.40). NCBI lineage: Eukaryota > Metazoa > Chordata > Mammalia > Primates > Hominidae > Homo > Homo sapiens. The sequence continues at coordinate 36,154,225 of NC_000023.11, read as the reverse complement.
TATAGTAAAATGGAAGAAGAAAGAAATGATTTAAAAACAGAATTTTTAACCAAAAGGGAAGCAGAACTTAAAAGTTTGGAAAATTCTTAGCTTATCCATATTGAAAAGAATGAGAGAACAAACATGTTTAGGGGAGAACAAGGGTGTGGGCAAGGAACTGTTTGATAAGGAGATTAATATGGATCAGGAATCTCCATGAAAACCAGATGATATTCATTAAAACTATGGAGAATTACCCCAAAACATTTCAGAGATCATCCTTGCTGCCTCTCCCATCATAGGCCCAGAATGCCAGGGCCTGAGAGACAGAATAATTTTAAGGAGAAGGGAGTATGAACAGCTGTGAGACCCTGGTGTTTGCTGCCCACCAATGCCTCAAGGCTCTACTGTCCACATTCCAGTATCATGCTCCTTGGCTGCCCCAGGTGCTGCTTCAGCAGACCCAGGTGTGGCTTGGAATGTGGTAGCTGCCCCTCTGATGGGCACAGACAATAAATTTGGGAGGCATCCATGTAGTACCATTTCCACTGGTGCAGAAAGCACAGAAAGTGCATGCCTTCACCTATATTTCAAAGGGTACCCTGGAGAGTCTTGGGGTTCAGTTAGAGAATTGCCATGGGGAAGGGCCACTGCAGAGTTCCCACTAAAGCAATGCCCAGTAGAGCTCTGGAGGCAGGCCTCCCTGAAGACCTCACACCAGTAGAGACATTGGAGCAAGATTCCAGCTCAGGGTAACCACAACCACAAGACCCAGGCATAGAATGACCACAGCGGTGAGGCTACTGCAGAGAACTGACATGTTCTCAGACACAGAGCTGTGGCAGGCACTGGGCTGCCTCAAAGCCATCGGGGGCAGGACCACCAGTGGGCCTGGAGAACAGAGTTTCAAGTCAAAGAAGATTATTCTGGTGCCTTAAGATTTAATGTTATTTGTCCTGTTTAGTTTTGGACACACTTAGGACCTGTTATCACTTTCTTCTTTCCTATTTCCCCCATTTGGAATAGGGTAGAAGTGTCTACCCTACGCCTATTCCATCATTGTATTTTGGAAGAATATAACTTATTTGATTTCACAGAATCACAGCTGGAAAGTAATTTGCCTTAGGAAGAATCATACCTTGAATCTCACCCATATCAGACTTATACTTTTATTTTTCTAGGCAAACCCTAAATACAAGACTTATATGATAGGTGAGAATTAAGACTTCAGACTTTTGAGTTGACGTTGAAGTGAGCTAAGATTTTGGGGGGCTATTGGGATGGAATGAATATATTCTTCAGGCAAGAAGACATAAATTCTGGGGCTACAGGGTAGAAAGCTAAGGTCTAAATGTTTGTGTCCCCCCCACCAAGTTCACATGTTTAAACCTAATTACAAGAGGAGTGACATCATCAGAACAGCAGAGTAGGAGATACTAATCTTCATTCTCTCCACATAAAAACAATAATTAAACAGCTATCTATGAAAGAAAATAGCTTAGAGAGGGCTCAAGGTTCCAATTAAGACCCTGAAGTAACACAATGGAGCAATAACCTGACGAAAACCACACAGAAAGATCATTAGAGAGACAGGCATACTTGAGCTGTCTAGAGGTGGCTAGGAACAAGGAAGGGCAGGGCTTATCATTATCAGCCACACAGTGGGTGCTACTTAGGTCCCCAGTAAACTGCTCTACAGAGTATGCCAGCAGCTTTCACTCCTGTCATAACCAATAGGCATTCCTGTTGTGAATCCCTTGGAAAGGGAAATGCTGCTGGGTCCTGTACCCCATCAAGGAAGGAGCCACTGTTGGGTCAGGTGGTGGAGAAAATGAGGAGATACTAATCAAAGGGTACGAACATGAAGATATAACTTGAGTAAGTTCTGGATACCTAGTTTATATCAAAGTGACTATAATGTCATTTACACTTGACAGGTGTAAAGAAAGTATATTTTAAGTATTCTCATAAGACATATACAAAAGGCAACCTTTTGAGGTAATGAATATGTCAATACCTTGATTGCTGTAATCATTTGACAATGTATATGTATACCAAAACATCATACTCTATACCTTGAATATATATAATTTTTATTTACCAATTTACCTCAATAAAGCTAAAAAAAAAGAGAGAAGAAAACCTAATCACCATTGTGATGGTATTAGGAGTTGGGGACTTTGGGGAGTGATTAGATCATGAGAGCAGAGCTCTCATTAATAGGATTATTACACTTAGAAAAGAAGCCCCATAGAGTTGCCTTGATCCTACCACCACGTGAAGACACAGAAAGAAAGTACCATCTATGAACTAGAAAGCAAGCCTTCACAAGACACTAAATCAATCTGTGGGTGCTTTGATCTTGAGCTTCTCAGCCTCCAGAACTGTGAAAAATACATTTCTGTTGTTTGTAAGCTGCCTAGTTTTTGGTGTTTTGTTATAGCAGCCCAAACAGACTAAGACACAATTATATCATGGATCTTCAGGATTGCTTAGAAATAGTCAAAGTAACATTATATTGAATGCAAAGGGCTTTGTTGAATGTGACACAGACACACAGACAGACACACACACACATACACATGCACAAGATATGTGCAAGTGTCAGTTTAATAAAAGTGCCAGCTCTGAATTTGTATTCACTGGTCTTGAATCTCTACTTTGGCATTTAATAGCAGGGAACATTGGGTAATTTAATGTCTCCGTGTCCAATATCTTCTTCTATAATATGAGAACACTAATAGGGTATTAGGAAGATTAAATATGAAGTGCATACTATATAGATATTGACATATGAAACAAAGTTCATATGATATAGATATTTTTATATAGCAAATGTTGAATAAATATTAAGTATGTTAATATTTACATATAATGCCTGTATTATGTAAATACATAAGTATGCATATGTTATAATAAACCTATGTGTGCCTATGAAAAGACTGGAAAGAAACGAACTAACAAACTGTGTTTGATGTAATTCTAGGTGATTTTTGTTATCCTGTTTATTTTTCTATAACTCAAATTTTCTACCGTGCACATTTATAATAAAAATAACAAATATGAACTTCCTTAACAGGAAAAGTAATCTTAAACTAAATTATCAGAGGTTTATTGTGGTTATTAGGAAGAATTTCCACATAAAGCTTTGAAATACTGGAATAGGCTATCAGGTTTATGAGTGGAAAAAATGCAGGAGAAACTTCATCCTTTTCACTTGTATCACCCTATTGGAAGAGTGGAGTATAGATCTCAAGTTTTAAAATCTTTGACAACAAAATAAATGGTTATGTGACAATGTCCAAATGAACTTGTGTTATTATCATTATGTTTTTTAATAGACATATTAGAAATTTAACTATTTTATTATGATCTTGGAAAATGGGTAGGTTCTTTTTATTATACAAGGAATTTTATTCTAATATTTTATTTATAATAAAGAAGCAGGCAAGTATAGATTTTTTCCTCAGGTTTACTTTAGGTTGAATTAAGATCTTTTATATGCCCCTTTAGCATGGAGTAATAACTGAAGAAAGCTAACATAGGCTAATGACACGAAACAAGGGCACTGTTGAAAATGGGTTACAGGATATTTTAGGTACAATTTAAAATGGCCCTTTTTTATTATTATTTCTGTGTTTGATATACTAGTACAGAAATAAAGACTACAGCTTGAAAAGTTACTCAATTTAATGTATAGTTAAAATCCAAAGAGATAATCAAGCAAAGTAACTTTAGTAGTTATCTATCACATTTCATTGGAGAAAAATAATTGAATGCAAAGGCAATGACTAAAATTCAAGACTAGTTAAAGTTCATTAGTAGTTATCAAATTTGTCAACTGCTATGGTACTGACACAGCTGTTCTCATATCATCTTTGTATTATTTAATAAACAAGAGTATTTATGTCATTAGCATGTGTTGGCATATCCAACATGATTTGTTGATCTGGGAAGACTCACATTATGCTCAGATTTAATTTCCCAAAACTATTCTCTGGAGGTTTCAATTATACTTTATTTTTGTGAGTGGGATAGTAGTAGAAACATTAAATAACTATGAGAACACAATTAGATAAAAATGACACATATAACATTATCAAAATTTGGGAGTATATTTACATGTATATATATCATCTATCTGTCTATCCATCATTTACACACACATACACAATGACTATGAGGGCACAGAGAAAAATGGCAACATGGGGAGTTCTTTGAGGTAGGATTATGAACCTTTTATTTTCTGGTTCTTCATACTTTCATAGTCTCTAAATTTCCTATAATTAGTACATGCTGCCTTTATAATCAGCAAAAACTATATATAAAATATATATAGGCCGGGCACAGTGGCTCATGCCTGTAATCCCAGCACTTTGGGAGGCTGAGGTGAGTGAATCACATGAGGTCAGGAGTTCGAGACCAGCCTGGCCAACGTGGTGAAACCCTGCCTCTACTAAAAATACAAAAATTAGCCAGGCGTGGTGGCAGGCGCCCGTAATCCCAGCTACTTGGGAGGCTGAGGCAGGAGAATTGCTTGAACCCAGGAGGCAGAGGTTGCAGTTAGCCAAGATCGTGCCACTGCACTCCAGCCTGGGCGACAGAGGGAAACCCAGTCTCAAAAAAAAATAAAATAAATAAATAAATAAATAAATAAATAAAATATATATATCTTTAAATTATATACATACATACTTTTAGAATGCACTGGTTTCAGTTTCCTGCAGGAAACAGAATGGCAGTACACAACAAACCAACTTATAGTCTTGTTTCTATGACCCGTATGCATAAAAAACAAATTAAAATTAAATGCACATATAAAACAGCTGTTTTATGTTGTTAGAATTGTTTCAACAACTTTGGTGAGGAATTGTAGAAACATACGAATATTTGTCTGACTGTGAGTGACAATCGTTTCATTAAATATCTATCAATATTAAAATCAAAGTCACATTTTATAATTATAACATTAAATATTTGGGGTTGATATGTCTGATAATGTAAAATTAAAAAAAATACTTACCTTGGAGAAATTGTCACAACATTCCCTTTTTGGGAAAGGGAGAAGTCAGCAGCATCTCTTCCAACAATTCTAGCATTATACACTAAGTTTCGCGAGCTGGAATTTTTCAGTAGAATCTATGTAGAAGTAGAAGAGGATATAAGTAAGATTATAAAATTAAAAACTATGCAACTATATCATTTCTTATTTTTATCAAAGATAGCAATAGATTTTAGTCATAAATATACTTATTTATAATGAACACCAACTGGACAAAGCCAGAATTTGTATTTTAAAATAACAACTACACACACACACACACACACACACACACACACACACATACATACAGTTTAGCTGAAGTGGGCAAAGAGAAGGAACTTTCAACAAAGGGAATTACAAATGCAAAAGCATCTTATCACCAGTGATTTGAAGATCAGCATTTGCAGCTTGGATTTTATTTTTATTGCAAAGGAAAACCACTGGGGAATTTTAAAAAGGGAACTTATATATCCAATTTACAAAAAGGATACTCTGGCTGCTCAGTGTAGAAGGTATTATAAGGAGTATAGATTTAAAAACAGTTTCAGGCTGAATATAATGGTGGCCCAGTCTAGATGTGGTAGTTCAACGAAGGGTTGGCTGTCTCCTTCCTCCTGATCCAGAGACATGGGGAGCATTAGAAAATGAGTTGCTTTATTACAAAAGAGTACTTCTTGAAAAACGTGAGTACACAAAGTGTTTATGTAAAATATAATGGAGATTCAAAAAACAATCTTTAGGAAGACTGACAAAGATTTTCTTCTCAACCACACTCCAGTAAGGCTTGTCTGAACTCTTTTTTTAACTAGGCCCCACCTTTGGGCATGTCCTCAAGAGCCCAATTTTAGCAAGAATCCTGCTAAATCAGTTTAACCAGAATTCCACACCTTCAGTATCTAATCACCCTTGATATCTAACCAAATTCCTCATCTCCTGCCATTGCTCAGGTAATGTATGATCACCCTGGCCTTCCTTTAGCAAAAATCTTATATTGGTTTAGCCAGAATCCCCCCTTACCCATATGTTTCCTCTTAGTCATTTCCCACCCACTGATCTCCATCCTGCTCCTTGGCTGTAAATTCCTGCTTTTCCTTGTTTTATTTCGAGTTGAGCTCAATCTCTCTCCCCCACTGCAAAACTGCTTTGCAGTGGTCCCTATAACTATCATAATAGTCCTGAATAAAGTCTGCCTTACCGTTTTAACAGGTGTCATGAATATTTTTTTTTATTTAACAAGATGCCAAGGTATCACCAAAAGTTCTGACCCAGAGAATGGTGAGGATGGGGGAAAAGGATAATTGGTCAAATTAGAGTGAATAAAAGGTCACTGCAAATTATGAAGTTCAGGACCTATAGTCACAGATATTCGAAGAGTGAAAAAGTAGCAGTAGGTATGGTTATAGTGAGTCATAAGGAATATGATGAAAATCTGGTGAAAGATTAATTATTTTCTTAGTTCAATGGAAACTTTGGTAACCAATAGAACAAGTGTGTTGTTGATAAAGCATTTCCAACTTTAGTTTCTTTAAGGATTTGGAGGCCTCATGTTCTCAAATACTTAAAGACATCAATAATGGGGGCAAGACCCCCACTATAGTGTGGTACCCCACTGTGGTGTGGTAATCTTTTTGTAGGTACATACATTCATACAAATGTATGCATTTCAAATATTCATTAACAGACCAAGCGATTTTAAGTCCCAGAGAGCTAATTCCTATTGTTTTGGAAGGAAATGTTGCAAATTATAGTAGATTTGTTGTGAACTGTTTAGATCATAAGGAAGCCATTCATTGTCACTATATCATACATATCACACATATGACAAAATGGTATTGGACTCATCTGTGGTCAGACAGTCATACCACCCAACTCCAGGATTTCGTGTAGGGGTGATGAGGAGTAGATAGGAAGAAGAGCTAGCTGTTTAAGGGAACAAAAGAAAGTTTTAAAGTCTCAATTCCTTTTTTGCAATGACATTCTTTATTCTGCTTCTGTGTAAATTTTGTTTCAAAAGGAAAACAAAATTCAACTGCTTTTTGAATGTCTCGGAAAATCACTGCACTCTATGTTTTTTCACTGACCACTACTTTTTTGTACTTGTTCTAGCAGTCTATGTTTCTATTATTTGCCCATAGCTATAGAAATACTTTTTTACACTTTGGAAGGCCGAGGCGGGTGGATCACCTGAGGTCAGGAGTTCAAGACCAGCCTGGCCAACATGATGAAACTCCGTCTCTACTAAAAATACAAAAAATTAGCTGGGCATGGTGGCAGGCACCTGTACTCCCAGCTATTCAGGAGGCTGAGGCAGGAGAATCGCTTGAACCTGCGAAGGCAGAGGTTGCAGTGAGCCGAGATCGTGCCACTGCACTCCAGCCTGGGCAACAAGAGTGAAACTCCGTCTCAAAAAAAAAAAAAAAAAAAGAAAAGAAATACTTTCTCAATTTTGTAGCCATTTCTGGAGATTTTGCTATATTCTGTAACATTGATAGGGTTGGTGGTAAGAACGACTTTCTATGACTTAACGCACTGCCATTCATCGTGTTGATTCACAGGAGCAAAATACATAAAAGATTCTCAGCAATTTCCAAATCACTAATTTTCTTAAATAAAAGTTAAAATCAAAGCTTGTTGTAATTTGTTTTATCTTGCATATACATTTTATTTATTTCTTCTTTCAAAAATTTTTCTTACATTGTGAAAAATGAAAGGTATATTTGTATAATTTTATCTATAATCTTAGGTATGAGCATTATTTCTAGCAAAATAATAAAATGAGAAAATAAATCGTGTTCTATTTAAACATGATTTAATTTGGTTTTTAACATCATAATTTAAATTTATTTTTAAACGTTAGCTAGCATTAATATTAACTACTTAAAAACATCAATAACAATTAAGTGATATGAAGGAATACAATCATGTAGACAGAAATAGAGAATTGGTAATAATAGTTAACAGTAATAAATTATACTTAAATCAAATTTACACTCCTGTCTCCTGCAGGCCTAAGCAAAAAACTTTTAACTCTTCTGAAATGTTATTTTGAAGTCAAAAATTCAATATAATTATAGCTCAAGGCTTGTTATTTATCCAAAGCCCTTGGATATCATTGCAATTAGCAAATTATCATAGTAAATACTGAATTCTATGGAGTTTTATGTCTTTTTTTTTGACAAAAAAGGAAAGAAATAAAGTAAATAAAAGAGATTGAACCTCAGTATTTACTAACACAAACCAAACACAAAGAAGAGGAGGCTTTCTTTTCACTAAATTCAGTCCTCTACATTTTGAGATAAGAACCTGGGTTTTGTTTTTTTTTTTCTTCAATTTTTAACTAAATCCTTATCAACTGATGCTCACACCATCATGGAGGCTACAGTTATTTTCTCAAAGAAGTTACAATTACAGATCAAAGATCACCGTGGCATATCTTTTGAAGACCACATATGGATGAGTTTTGCATCAAAAATATAAAATTATCCTCCTTCCCAATCATATATTAAGAGAGACAAACATAAAAGAGCCTGAAAAAAGGAATAAACATGAATCTTATCAAAGCAGTAAATTAACTTGTATACAGAATAATATTATTTTAAATCAAATGAAAATGAGTAAGAAAAGAGTCATCATTTCATTGCAAGTGGTGATTACTCTTAAGCAAAAATTGCACCTTTCGCTCATCTAGACCTTTGGCTTAGAAGAAGCAACATTTGATAAGGCTTATTCACTTTTAATAAAATTATTCCTACAGACGCTTGCTGTTAATTTTGGGTTGGGAAAGAAATATCTAAAACCTCTCTTAATTGTGTAACTCCTTACACATTTTGACCCCAAAATTATCCTTACCTTATTCAGCACCGTGTCATGTAGAGTACATTCAAAGGACACCACCTTCTTAGGGAGATATGTAGGGAGTCTTTCATACATGTAGACACAAAGCATGAGCATCAGGATTGGATTTGGGTCACAGATGTCTGTGGCCTAGTTTCAAAGAAGATAAATCGAAATTAGAGGATGCATTAGTTAGAGTTCTACATAGGTAGAGAACCAATAGGATATATATCTGTATATATGCACATACACACACATACACACACACACACACACACACACACACACACACGCATATATATATATAAACGGGAATTTATTAGGAAGAATTGGCTGAACAATCACAAAGGCGAAGTCCCACAGTAGGCTGGCTACAAACTGCAGAATGACAGAAGCCAATAGGGGCTCCCAGGGAAGCCAGAAGCATGGCTCAGGCCAAGTCCCAAATCCCCCAAACCAGGGAAGCTACAGTGCAGGCCCCATTCTGAGGCCGAAGGCTGAAAGCCCAAAGGAGGCTGCTGGTGCAAGTCCTAGAGTCCAAAGGCTGAAAAACCTGGAATCAGATGTCCAAGGGCAGAAGGAGAAAAAAATGCATCCTGCTCCAAAGGGAGAAAGAGATCACGACAAAAATAAAAAAGAACAAACAAACAAAAAAACAAGCAAACTGAATATCCCCCTTCTTCTGTCTCTTTGTTCTGGCCACTGCCACAGCCAATCGGATGGTAACAACCCACACTGAGGGCATATCTTCCTTTCTCAGGCCACTGACTCCTGCATCCATCTCCTTTGGAAACACCCTCAGACACACCTAGAAACAAAACGTTGCCAGTCATCTTGGCATCCTTCAATCCAGTCAAGTTGACACCTAATATTAACCATCAAATAAGATAATAGATAAAAATATAAAAAGAGGAAAAGCATAGTAAATCAATTATTGAATTACTTTAAAACATTTAAAATATTTGTGATTGACAATGACACTGAAACATAGATACAGCAATAATACCGCTCTGAATCAGAAGAGCTTGACCTAAGTGTTAAAAAATAAATGTGTCCTAAGTAGAACACTGATCTAGTAACCTCAGACTCCGTAAAAGCTAGTCGGAACTCAGAAGAACACTACACTCTAGAAATTATGACTAATGTGACTATTACTCCTGAAGTTAAAGATGGCAAGAGATTTTCAAGCAAAGGCCCATAGAACCAATGGCACATTAAATAGGCCTTATAGAATGCTTGAACTTCAAATATGTATTTGATGTGAGGAAAAGAGTGTATTTTTTCAGAAAAGCAAATTACTATAGGATGAGGAGATAGAGAAGCATAGTGTTTGTTCAGTAAAGAACTACCATTTGGGTCACGCATAAGAAAAGATGGGACAATTAGTGAGAAAAAAGACTAAGGAGTGCCAGGCTACATTGTGGAGGTCTTAGACGGCAGGGTGAGGGACTTGATTTCTGAACAAGAAATAACATAATAAGAGCAACAATTCAGGCAGATCAGGTAGGGGGCAGTTGAAGAAGTACTTTTCCCAGAACAGATAAACAATAAGGCAGAGGTTGTAATTACTCTGATAAACAAAATACATTAGTAATGATTACTGGAGTATATTTGAGATAAAATCCAAAATTACAGCGCAATGGTATCAGGACAATAAACATAGCCAGAACGTAAGCTGAAGCCAAAAAGTAATGTCAGGAACAGAAGAAGATAGAAGCAGTGGGGAAAAGTTATTCACAGCACAAAAGTATTGGGGTTGGTGTGAGGGATTTGAAGACATAAAAAACACCATTAATAGACAAACAACTCTGTCAGTGTCAATATACAGGGAGCTCTCTGTACTTCCACAAAATGGAAATGAAGGTCTGCTATGACTTAATGGCACATATTCAAGTTAGCAACTGAACACGATCTGAGCCCGGCCTAGAAATGCAAATAGTGTGAAAGCCAAGGAGACCCAATGTGCTAGGTGGAACTAAGGCACTTGATTCTGAAATTTGGCAGCAGTTTTTAGAGAATGATGACAACCCCACTGGTGATCTGCTAGTCCACATTTCCTCATGCTCTCTTATTCTTCTCGGGAAAATAGAAGAGTTTGTTCTTTCTTGTTTTGTTAATTAGAAGTAAGGCTTACCAACGAAGGTGCCTGGGCAAAAGACTGACAGAAAGAAAACTGGCCTGCCTTAGCAGGGTAGAAAGCTAACTGTGAGTATAATTTGAGGAAGCCTTGGAAATATACCAGGACCATAAAGTTTCTCATCAGTATTTTGTGGTCTCACATTCTTTAAAGACGACGTTAGTAAATAGATGTAGAAAAATGATTTAAGATAAGAACAAAATAAAAAAATGCAGAGTTTAATTGTCACATCCACTTTTGAAGCCTAAGAAGGTAAATTTTTAAGTGAAGAATGTGTGGCTCTGCTGGGCCCTGTGTTTGGAATCAACCTATAGGGTATGATCCGAAGAGGGCTATCTAGGGTGACGGGAGGTGTGTTTACTGGGGAAAAGAGGAGTACTAATAGCAGAACACTCTGGGCTCAAGTCTGGGATGAATCAAAGTCTTTTGAACCATGTTTTAGTAAGTAACCCATAAAATGATATAAATAGCAATATAAAAATTATTTCAAAAGCTAAACTTTGAAAAATCCAGCAATTTGGCAAATTAAAAAATACGTTTTTAATGGGAAACTATATTTAATAAGACATTATACTGAAAAACCAAATAAAAGAGCATTCTTACCTTTCCTTATACATTTAAACAAAAGTGACCTAAAGCAATCAGACTTTTGTCAACCTTAGGCTAGAAAGCCAAATGTTAAATAAAGTAAGTTAGGTTTATTTAAAACTAAAATTTCATATGAAAGTACTTTTAAGGACATAATCATTATTTTCGCTACATAGATCTAACCAAAAATAACTTCAATTGTATTGGTCCTTTTTTTCTCCTTGATGACTATGTTTTCCTACTAGATTAACAAAATGCAGGAATGTAAACAAACAAAAAAATCATAAAAATCATAACAAAAAAATCAATAAATCTGGTAAATTAATTCAAGTCCTGCTATGACACAGTGCCATGCTCTTAAGACAATTGAATTTCCTGGGCCTCAGTTTCATCATCAGTAAATAGAAGGGGTGATAAGATCTTGAGTTTTATGCTGGATTTAATGTGCCATATCTTTTAAGGTATCACTAACTTTCAAATAAGACGCCAAATATAATTAGCAGTACATAATGATATACTATAATCCTACAAAGACAGCTATTGAATGCCTTCCCAACAATCATTTTCCCCTTTCTTCTTTACTAAGAACCTAACTTTTTGTGAATATTCTTTTTTTTTATTTTTAATCAACCACTGGTTAGCCACAAGAATAGGATTCAATTCCGGTCAATGATATGCAATGGGGAATATGCCATGGGGCCGCTGGGAAAGGTTTACCTTCTGGAAAAAGAGAAGCACAAGAAAAGACGCCACTCAGCCAGCCCCAGACAGAACTGTATGAAGGTGTTATGTGAGACTTCTGCAGAAATTTGGGAGTTATTTGTGCAGAGTCCTAAAACACTCTGTAGGTCAAGAATGGCTGAGCAAAACTGAATCTCTGATAACTTTGTTAAAAAACTGAACAATTATCCTTATAATCTTTGATTGTCTGGCTTTATCTTTTTATAAAATATTAAATTTCCTTATTTTTAAACCACTTTTACTCAAGAATTCTGTTCTTTAAAGCTGAAAATTTCCTAGTGATTGTGAAGGTTAATTTTAGGTGTCAATTTGACTGGATTGAGGGATACCTAAATGGCTGGTAAAGCATTGTTTCTGGGTGTCTGTGAGAGTGTTTTCAGAGGAGGTTGAAGCTGAGTCAGTGGACTGAGAGAGAAACATCTGCCCTCAATGTGGACAGACACCATCCAATCAGCTGGGGCTGGGACAAACAGGTAAGAAGAAGGAGGACTCTCTGCTTTCTCTCCCTTCCAGAGTGAGACACCTTTTCTCCTCCTGTCCTTGGACATCAGACTAGGTTCTTCAATTTTTAGACTCTGAAACTTGCACCAGTGCTCTCTGGGGGCTATCTGGCTTTTAGATTTGGACTAGGGGCTGCACCATTGGCTTCCCTGATTCTGAGGCTTCTGGACTGAGCGATGCCACCAGCTCTTCTGTGTTCCAGCTTGCAGGCAGCCTATCATGAGACTGCTCTGACTCTGTGTTCATGTGAGCCAATTCCCCCTAATAAATCCCCTCTCATATATCCTATTGTTTCTGTGTCTCTAGAGAACCCTAACAAGTGATTAAAAAAAAAAAAAAAAATTTAAGGACAAAATTAGAATATCTATTCACCCTTAGCTCCAATCACTACTCATTAAATTATGTGTACTAAAGCTCCATAAATGCTTATTATATGTATTTTGTTATCTATCTTTGCATGAGGGAACAAAACATGCATTCTACGCTGTGGTCAAACAATTCCATAGTATTTTTGCTTCAAATAAAAATCATGTCATGAAAAGGAGAATATGTAATATGTAATAACTGTATATTCCTACTGGCAGGATTCTCCAAAAAGACATAACATTACCCCAGCAACTTATGAAGCTAATTTTCAGGCTGCAATTAAGAACATAATAAAGAAGAAACTTAAGCATTAATAATTAAGTCCATTGCTGAATTTTACAGGATTCAATGGTGGACCAGTACAAGCACCAGCATTAATTCATTATGTATAAGTTCATTAGAGGGTGATGGTTTTAAATCTGCCATTTAGTGTGGTTGGTAAATCTGGGCTAATAAAGAGTTAGGGCATTGGAATTGGCTGATAAAGTTTTGGTCATTATCTGCTAAGCCGACTTTCAATTACTTCATTCATCAAATCTTGGACAACTTTTCTACATTTTTATCTAGTAGATACTTATTTTTAAATTATTTTTGACTATACAATAAAATAAATATATTGAGCCAACATATGTGAGGAAATCAAAAAGCAAAGGAGAGAGTCACAATGTATGGTTTTTCTAAACAAAGGTATTTTAAATTTCTTATGAACTCCTACCAAACTCTCAAGGGTCAGCTTAAACTCTAAGTGTTCTGTGCAAATTTTCCTGGTATCCTTTTTAGAGTGACTTCTTGTCTCCTTTGAGTCTCATAGCATATTATTTCTATGTCTATTGTGACATTCACTGTCGCTTTGCATTAGCCTTGTTTCATGTAACTTGTGATTATTAGTCTGCAACACCTTTGAAGGCATGAGTGTAGTTTTGTCACATCTGCACCCCTGAAGGATGTATCCAGTGTCTTTCATGAGGGAGGTTAAATAATTTGTTGAATTTATGGGAATTGTAATATTTTTATTCTTCAAAACCAAAGACTTTTATTAGAGTTTGTCCTTAAAATTCTACTATTAGAACTCTCTGACTAAAATTATTGATTGCAGTTTCCCTTTACAATTGTACCAAAAAAAAATAAATGAAAAGAAAATGAAATAAAAAGAATACAAATGTCAGGAATGGTACAAAGTGACATTAACATGCAAGTGACTTCAATACAAAGAAAAAAGTGAGCAATTATAAAACTCATTTCTCCAGCAGGTGTAAGATATCATTTTGGGCACTAGTATCATCAGTCTTTCTGGATCACAGAATGAAAAACTCAGAGTTAGTTATAATAGTCTTTCTCCAATGCCCTTCTTTTGTGGCTGGTCACCAACTCTAGCAAACCTCATGATTTTTCCTACATCAGCTTATTATGTTTAAATCCTAATTAAAATGATAAGAGTAGAGAAAGTAATTACTGTACTCCTTGACCAGTTCAAATTGCATTGCGACTGGTCTGCGTTCCCTGTCACCAGTTCCTTTCCTCTCGGTCCATCCTGACAATTGTTGTTGCAAGAGTAAAGGCCTTTTATCCCCCATAATGCCCACAGGATAAACTCCTGATTTTTTTATGCTGATATTCAATATCCTAGTATATGCCTATGTCTCTGTTTCCAATACCAAACTTCAACTGGGGAAACCTATTCACACAATTTCCTTAACGTATGTCACTTTTTCAAACTCTACATTCTGTTCATGTTACTTCCTCTGAGCAAACAACTTTCTTTCTTACCACTACCAATGCAAATCCAATTCACCCTTCCAGATGCCAATTAAATTCTGTCTCTTCCACACTGTCTTTGATGTATCAGTCTGCATCACATTGATCTCTTCCTTCATCTGAATTCTATACTTCATTTTTTTCATAGACCATTATTAACAATTAAATAAGTAGAGCATTATCTTTTAACAGGCAAATATCTTGATAATTTAATGAATTTATATATTCAAAGTCAGGAATCATTTATTTTACCATTTTATTGCCCCTAAGTAACAAACAAAAGGCTCATAAAATAGTAAGAATCCAATATATTTTTGATTATTGCTATTGAGGTCTTGATGTGAAAAGCCAAAAGGAATTACAACTTGAAGGTCAACATACAATTAAAACGTATATTGCCATTATGACCACTATACAAACATTTATTTTAATACTAAAGTGAAAATTTATTTTTGCTACTAAATTAGAAGATAATAATATGACATCTATATTTAAATAAATATGCTCTTTTAGTTCATTCTTAGATTTTGAGTAATGATTATAATTCACTCAATGTTTATTTTTGGGGTTTCAGGCACTTGGACTGGAAGTACTTTCCTATTATGCACAGCTGGATGTATATAATTATACAAATTTTAAAATATCCAGTCGATTTCTGTGGAGTCATATTTCAATTTCTACATTTTAGCAATGTCTCATCAAAAGCCTGTTTCAATTTAAATTTCAAAAATATGAACAAAGCAATATTATAAATGAGCAAGCTATCAAAAGAAATTTATAAAATGTTTGTAGAATGTTTAATATAAAGGCACCCACCTGTATTTCCACGTCAAAGTCAATTTCATAAAGAGTATTTACAATAATCAGGCAATTGTGCAGATACTCTTCAGGACTTTTTGGTCGTGTGTACATATTTATAAAATGAGACTCAATCTGTAAAAAAAAAAAAATCAAACCTTTTGGTAATGGAATAAAAAATTCTGTTTTTTAAGTGTTCTCTATAGTTAGGCAAAGAATCATTTAAATATTAATATTTGTCAGTAATAAATTATTGCAATCAAAATGCAAGAATAAACAAAAAGGTAGTGCTGGCCATGCAGATTCAGGTGTTTGACTTGAATGTAAGACATTCGAAATAATCTGTTTACAGAAAATACACTTCAAATTTTAATCACTAAGTTTTTTTAAATAATAGAAGATCATTATGCATAAAAACGACTCTTACCAAGAATGGGCAATAGGCTCCCAACTGTGTTGCAAAAACAAGACCATCTGAAAGGTCTTTGTCAAAATTTACTATCCATCTCTCAGAAGGGATAACATCTGTTTCAAAAAAGAGGGAGAGTAAATACAACAATAGTTTTACTTTATTAAAAGATACCTATGGAAATTTGAGCAATAGTAAAAGAAAATTTTGCTTCTGCTTGGGAAACAAAAAGTATATTATATTGGAAATAAAAACAAATTTTAAGTCTCAGAAGATTAATACTATGAGAGTTACCTGTAAGGCTTTATAAACAATTGCAAGCTGTCTTCTTTATTTCTATATGAGCTGCTTTGAAAAATACACTACAGTGTAATAATGGAATAGAAATTCAATGTTTCAAAATTACCCATTCTGTTGAGTACCTTGAGGTTCAAATGTTTAATCAATGATCATCAACATGGGTAAGGAGACTGAAAAGGCATGGAGTTACTTTTAACTTTAGAGTGCTAGTGCCAGTTTCTTTATTTCTTGCAGAAATTCATCCACGTGGCAGGAAAGTATGTGAAAGGAATTCAAGATTTATGGCTTAAAGAAACCAAAATTGACCTATAAAAGGCAATACAGGATGGAGGAGTAGTAAAAGGAATTCTCAATTACAGACATGATTACTACGCTGAGTCTGGAACAAAAAGAGGAAGTATCTGAATTTTAAGTGAATATCTGAAATACTGACCTATATTGGGTGGAGGTTAATTTTAAACAGTGGAAATAATCCCTATGTTGAATGCGACATTTTCTTTTTCAATAAGTTTCCAAATGGCCTAGATTCTTCATGGTGTGAGACAATTTCTTGTCTGAAAACAAGGGGCAAATGGTGATCTTTATAAATTCCCTCAAATCTCTCTACTCCCATTTTCTGTGAAGAAGAAAAACCATGACATGATACACCCATGACATGTATATTAGCTTCAAAACCGGGATTGCTTTACACCTGGAATTGGAAGACTTAATTATCTCTTGAATCACAGATGTCCTGGACACTTCACAGACAATGTCCAGTACTTTTTCATCTGAGAAGCTATGACATTGAACATTTCTATAGGATTTCTATAGCATATTGTCACAAAATCAGTCTAGTAAACACAGATCACTAAGGATTTTCAACTAATGCATAGCAAACAACTTCTGTATTTTTCAAAGTATTATTTCCTGATCAAAACTTATAAATAACATTTTTGATATAAGATTCAATGTAATCGAATTAATGATTTTAAATTCAGTTGGCTGAATAATGATAACCTACATGTGCTTCTCTTTTTTGTCCAGCTTTGATGTATAATTGGCAAATAAAGAGTATATGTATATAGAACATAAATTGTGTTTTGATATAAGTATACCTTGTGTAGTGATTCCCAAAATCAAGCTAATTAACATATTCATCACTTCACATAGTCACTATTTTGTGTATATGTATGTGGTGAGAACCTAAGATGTACTCTCTTACCTAAGTAAAATGTGCTTCTCTGAATGTATATTTGCCACCCATAGCTATCAATAAAAGCAAAATATTTCACTTTTGTAGTTAATATTTATTTTTCTCTGGACTGGAAGCAATGATAACTTTTGATCTGAAAAAGATAATTTACTAGCCTTTTACACTGATAGAGAATCAGTCAGTTAGCAGTGGACATAGACTGTATCCACCAGATAGCACATCCTTGTCTTGTACAGACATTAGAGGAGGGACAGAAATTGTCTTGAAGGAGCTTAATATCTTGTTGCAGGAAAATCACATCCATAACAGGAAAACAATGAATTAAAAAAAAATCCTCCAAGCAGAAGTCAATGAATACATAACAATACAGCAACAACTAACTGTTATCCTGTTATTTCCCACTCCACCAATCACAACTCAGGACCACAGAATTCATTATGACACCCGCCCCACCTTATTTTGTTAACAGTGAAAAATCTCAATCTCATTATCTACAATATTTTTATGTATTGGTTAAACCCTAGTATGTATATAAAGTGCTTTCAGAATTGCAAAGCCATACCCCTGTCAGAAACTAGAGTAAGGTGTGTATGTATAGTTCTTTACACCTTTAGTCTTAGACTACACAGTTATATTTCTTTACCATTAAATAAGCTCATTTCTTTTTCATTACCATCAGTGAGGTTGTCCAACATTTGTAACCCAGTTATATTCATTTGCCACAGCCTGCATTTTGTCCTTAATTACTTACATATGTTGGTTGATTTTATAAAATTACTTACACTAGCATTCACTCTTTGTGGTACACACCTATAGGAACTTGAGGAATACATTTTCACGTACCTGCCATCACATTTCCATAAAGAAAAGTGTGATCACCCCCAAAATTCCAACGTGCTGCACCTTTGTAGTCAATCCCTACCGTCATCTGTTAGCACCTGGCAAACACTGATGTGTTTTTAATCTCAATAACTTCACCTTTACCAAAATGCCATAAAAGTTGAATCAAACAATATCAATATGTAGTCTTGTGGGGTCTTGTTGTTTTGGCTTCTTTTACTTAGTGAAATTCATTTAAGATGCACCTATGTTGTGTGAATCAATAGTCGTTGTTGTTTTCATTGTTGAGTAGTACTGTATTTGATGGATGTCACAGAGATGAGGTATTCATTCACCAATTGAAGGGCATTTGGTTTGTCTTCAGTTTAGAGGCAATTAGGAAAATCTGCTATAAATTATCTCATGTAGTGCTTATTGTGATCAGCAATTCTTTTTTTAAAAAAGTTTTATTTCCATAGGTTTTGGGGGGAACTGATGGTACTTGATTACATGAGTAAGTTCTTTAGTGGTGATTTGTGAGATTTTGGTGCACCCAGCACCCAAGTAGTATTCACCGAACCCAGTTGGTAGCCTTTTATCCCTCACTCCCTTCTCACCCTTTCCCCGCGAGTCCCCAAAGTCCATTGTATCATTCTTACGCCTTGGCATCCTCATAGCTTAGCTCCCACTTATGAGTGAAAACATACGATGCTTGGTAATTCTAATGTATTTTGGTGAAACAGCTGGAAAAGAGATTTCTGGATTATATAGTAATTGTATTGGGCAACTTATATATGTCTTTTTTCTATCTTTCTATCTTTTTTTGGTGATGTATCTTTTCAGAACTTTTGACTATTTTTCAAATTTGGTTGTTTATTTTCTTGTTGTTGAATTTGGAGAGTTCTTTATGTATCCTGCATACAAGAAATTTGTGGAATATGTTATTCAAAAATACTTTCCCCCAGTCTGTAGCTTGTCTTTTCTTTCTCTTAATAGTCTTTCATAAAGCAGAAATTTTAATATGGTAAAGTCCAATACAAATAGATATGTGTATACATGTATATACGTGTATATATGTATGTATATAAAAGTTGTGTGGGTTTACATTTAGATCTATGATCTACTTTGAGATAATTTTAGTACGAGATGTGAGGTATAGGCCAATGCTCATTTTTTACATATGCACTTCCAATTATTCAAGTAATATTTGTTGAAAACACTAGCCTTACTTGATTTAATTGCTTTTGCACTTTTGTAACCAAAAACACCCAGTTGATTATATTTGTGTAGATATATTCCTTGCCTCTCAATTCTATTCTTTTGATCTACACATCTATTCTTTTGTCAATACCACCCAGTCTTAATTATCGTAGTTTCAGAATTTCTTCCGCCTTTTCAAAATTGTTTTGGCTATTTTAATGGCAATGCCTTTATATATATATTTTAGAGTCAACTTACTGATATTGACTATAAGAATATGTGATGGTATTTTCACTGGAATTGAATTGAATCTAGAGATCAATTTGATAGCCTAACAACATTTAGTTTTCCAACGTCATGTGCATGCTATATTTCTCTATTTATTTCTCACTGATTGCTTTCATCAGTGTTTTGTAGTTTATAGCATATATATCTCTAATTTATTTTGTTATACATACTTATACTAAGTACTTAATATTAGATACTTAAGTATTTCTTCTATGTTAAATGGTATATTTTTATTTTAAATTCCAATTGTTTACTGCCAATATATAGAAATATAATTTAATTTAATTGTATAGTGATCATATATCCTCTGACTTTGATAAATGAATATAGTATTTCTAGGAGCTTTTTATAGATTGTTTGGGATTTTCTATTTGACAGAAATGTTGAATTCCAGCCCCTTTCTCGGGGCAAGAGGTGGTTTGTTATTTTCTTTTTTTTCCTTTTTCTTTCTTTTTCTTTTCTTTTTTTTTTTTAAACTGCAATGAGTATTCACCAGAGCCCTTTGGGGGACAGTATCTGTTGTCCTTAAATTAACATAGATGAACACATCTGTTCTATAAGGTATTGCTATGGTTTGAATGTCCCCTCTAAATCTCATGTTCAAATTTCATTGCCATTTCAATGGTTAATACCAACCAATAGAAGTGGGACTTTTAGGAGGTAATTAGATCATGAGAGCTCTGGCTTCATGAATGGATTAATGGTGTTATCTCAGGAGTGTGTTAGTTACATTGGGAGTCTGGCCCTCTTTTTCTCTCTTTCTTGCATGCTCTTACTTTTTATCATCTTCTCTAGCTATGGGATGCCTACTATAATGTAATAATGCAGCAAGAAGGCCCTCATCAAATGCAACCTAATTATCTTGGACTTTCCAGCCTCCAGAGTCATGACCCAAATAAACTTCTATTGTTTATAAATTACCCAATCTGTAGTATTCTGTTACAGCAACACTAAATGGACTAAGACAGATATACAGAAGTCGGAGTGAATTGCCTGCCCCTACACTAGGTACTAAGGAGTACACATTCTCCAGACTCACTTTAGTCATTTCTGTGAGCAACATGTGAAGTTTGTGGAGTAAACACCTGCAAGAAGATGCAGAGTCTATAACTGTGGCCACTAGGAGTTTCATGATCTCTCACTAGTGTATACTTGGCCTCTACCAATACGCCAATCACCCTAACTCAACTATTCTTAATGGCGTCTAGCTCTATCTACAAGTAGACCATTGCTATCATCTCATTTCTTCCAGTAAAAACCAAGTCTCTCTTTGTTGCCCTGCAATCTCAGCTTTATGTTAAGGTTCAAGAAAAACAGAGAATTTGCTGCTTGTCTGACTTTCATTGTTGTTATAAGGGTGGAAGAAAACAGTTTCCAGTTCTCTATCTCCCTGAGTAGAAACCAGGGCATCTATTTTTGTTCAACCCATCACAACTTTGAATCTGCTTTGATATTCTTACTTGTTGAATACCAGTAGGCATGGGCCGTAGCTGTTCAAACAAGGCTCTCAGTAAGAATAGGATGACAATGATTCTTCCAAGGCGATGATGTGAAAAAGTAAAGACAAAACTTCAAAGCTCTTCTCTAATCTCTGATCCTATGCCTGTATCTTGTCTTTTATACTCAAGGCTGCTGCCAAGCCCTCATCACAGTTTATCACAGCTTTGATACATCAAGGATTTTCTCTACTTTTATGATAGTTCCTTTGATACAAGCTACTCTCTCTTCTATACTCCCTCTAAGGATTTGCTACCCAAAGTGAGCTAAGTGAATCAGCAGCACCTACATCAAATGGAAGCTTGTTGAAAATGCAGAATTTCTGGCCTCACCCAACACCTAGCAAAATATAAAAACATATTAGCAAAATCTCCAAGTATTCACATTATCGTCTGAGACGTGTTGGTCAATGGTTGTCTTTTTTTGGAGACAGAACCAGCAGTCTAATGTAGTTGTCATTTGTCAGAAACCAGAAAATTCAAGTGATGCTCCACACATTTTTAAAATTTTTAATTGGGAAGTTATGTTTTTATCCAGTTTTATATTACATCACTTCTGATATTCAGGTATATTTAAGTAGCAATAAAAATACTGGTCTTTATAGTATTATGAATTAGAGATGTGTTTGTTAAACACAAAATTTAATCAGAAATTTTAGAAAAAATTAGTCAATTTACTTATTCTGAATATAATAATTGTCACATGAATTTTATGTTAGATGACTATAACAGTACATTTTTATAAAAGTTATATTGAGATATAATTCACATAACACAAATTTCATGCAATTCAATTGTTCAATTCATTGTTGCTTAGTATAGTCATATAGCTGTGCAATCATCACTACTATCTTCTTTTAAAATATTTTTATCAACACATAAATAAACTTGATACTCATTAATTGTCACTTCTCATTTCTCTCTTCCCTCATACCATGGACATAAATGAATGTACATTCCGTCACTATGGATTTGTCTATTATGGACATGTCATAGAAATAAAATTATAAAATATGTGCCCTTTTGTGTTCTGTTGTCTTTTATTTAGCATAATATTTTCAAGGTTCATTCATGTTGCAGCATGTATAAGTATTTCATTTCTTTTTATTGCTGAATAACATTCCACTTTGGGAATATACCACATTTTCTTTATGGATATTTGTGTTTCTAATTTTTGGCTATTGTGAATAATGCTGCTATGAGCATTTATGTAAAAGTTTTTTGTAATCATATATTTTCAATTATCTTGAGTATAAACCAATGAGTGGAATTGTTGAATCATATTGCTAATCTATTTCTCAAGAGACTTTTTTTTATAGCAGTTTTACATTCACAGCAAAATTGTGCAAAAAGTGCAGAGATTTCCCATATACTCCCTGCCCCCATGCATGCATAACCTCTCTCATTAGTTAATCTAATTTTAACATTTTGAGAAACTACCAAACAGTTTTGCAAAGTGGTTGCACCATTTTACAATCCCTCTAGCAACACATGAGGTTTCCGATTTCTATGAATCCTTGCCAACACTTGTTATAGTCTTTATTTTTTAAATTCAAAAAATTTAATTTCTGTGGCTACATAGTAGATGCATATATTTATGGGGTACATGAGATGTTTTGATACAGGCATTCAATGTGAAATAAGCACATCTTGAAGAATAGGGCATCCATCTCCTCAAGCATTTATCCATTGAGTTGCAAACAATCTGATAACACCATTTTAACAAGTACAGTTGTTATTGACTATAATCACCCTGCTGTGCTATCAAATAGTAGGTCTCATTCTTTCTAACTATTCTTTTTTGTACCCATTAACTATCCCCACCTCCCCCAGCCTCTCACTACCCTTCCCAGTCCATGGTAACCATTCTTCTACTCTCTGTCCATGACTTTAGTTGTTCTGATATTTAGATTCCACAAATAAATGAGAACACACAATGTTTGTTTATCTGTGCATGGCTTATTTCACTTAACATAATGATTTCCAGTTCCATTCATCTTGTTGTAAATGACAGGATATCGTTCTTTTTTATGGCTGAATAGTACCCCATTGTGTGTATGTACCACATTTTTTTTATCTATTCAACTGCTGATGGACACTTAGGTTGCTTCCAAATCTTGGCTATGGTGAACAGTGCTGCAACAAACTGTTAAGTGCAAATATCTGTTCAATATACTGGTTTCCTGTCTTTTGAATATATACCCAGCAGTGGGATTCCTGGATTAAACTGCAGCTCAATTTTTAGTTTTTTGAGGAACCTCCAAACTGTTCTCTATAGTGATTGTACTAATTTACATTCCCCCCAACAGTGTACAAGGACTCTCTTTTCTCCACATCCTCACCAGCATTTTTTATTGCCTGTCTTTTGGATATAAGCCATTCTAACTGTGGTTAAATGATATCTCACTGTAGTTTTGATTTGCATTTCTCTGATGATCAATGATGTTGAGCACCTTTTCATGTGCCTATTTACCATTTGTATGTCTTCTTTTGAGAAATATCTATTCAAATTTTTTGCCCATTTTTTATCAGATTATTAAATTTTTTGTTCCTATGGAGTTGTTTGAGCTCCTTATATATTCTGGTCATTAATCCCTTATCAGATGAATATTTTGCAAATGTTTTCTCCCATTTCTGTGGGTTGTCTCTTTACTTTGTTGATTGTATCCATTACTGTGCAGAAGCTTTTACATTTGACTTTTTAAAAATTTTAGTTACAGAAGTTGGTGCCAAATGCTAACTTACTGTGATTTTGCTGTGCATTTCCCAAATTACTAATTATGCTGAACATCTTTTAATGTGCTTGTGGGTCATTTACTTATTTTCCTTTTAGAAATGTCTATTCAAATATTTTGCACATTTTTAAATTGGGTTGTCTTTTTATCACTGACTTGTAAGTGTTTTTTATATATTCTTCATACAAGTCTCTTGCTAGATACATAATTTTGCTGTTACTGTGTCCATTGAAATATTCCTTTTTCCTCATTTTTATTTCATTAATATGATGTACTACATGGACTGGCATTTATGTTAAAACAACTTTGTACTCCTAAGATAGATTTCATCTCCTGATTATATTTTATTCTTTTTCTATATTGCTGGATTCCATTTGCTAGTAATTTCAGATTTCCATGTCTATCTTCATAAAATATAATAGGGCATTTTCGAATTTTGTTTTGAAACACTTCTGAAATGCAATGAGGTATATTCTTTAATGCAGACATAGATAATCTTGCTTGTAAAGGTAGTTGAGTTATGAAGATATGTGAACTCTAAATCATTATAAGATCAGTCACATATAATAGTTATGAGTCACATGAAATGTGATATAAAGTAATGTATATAATACTTGATATAACTTCTACATAAGTGAACAATAAACTGGAAATTAAGTAAAATATTTTCAGTATCAAGATAAAAATTGCTATGGAGAAAGACTGAATTAAAACAGAAGATGCTATAAGAAAAAAATTGAAAATAAAAAGAAAACAATTACAGAAGTTGCATATAATAGAATAGATGCAATAATTTATGAATAATTTTGTGCTAGTATTATAAAAATTTAGATAAAGCTCATTAATTTCACAAAAATATGTTACAAAATCTCATTCAAGGAAAAACAGAAAATAAGAATAATCCTATAACGATTAAACAATTAACTTGTTGTTTAAAATCATCCTACAAAGAAAAAAATCTAGATGGTCTTATCAGTGAATACCATAAAATTCAAAAAACAAGAAATATCACTAACACAGAAACTCTTTCAATGTCTCCAAAAAAAGAATGTTCTCCAGGCAATTGTTTAAGGTTTGCATTAAATGTATTAAAAAAAATAAAATGGTAGAAAAAAATTACAGATTAATTATCATTCAAGTAAGTTAAAGCAATCAACTAAAATAACAGTAAATATTCTTTCTGGTAAGTTAAATAAAAATAATTTAACTATCATGGAAAATTTGAGTTTGTGCCAGGATGCAAGGTTAATTCACATTTTTAAATAAATTTAATTTGACAAATTAATATATATATATTCAATATTATTCATCATAAAATTCCTAGAAAAACTAAGGAGAGTAGATAACTTTCAGGATGTAATGAAAATAATCTGCAAAATAATCATATAGTAAATACCATAGTTAATAATTAAATGTTAAATATGCTCTGTTTAAGATTATACAAAAATATCAGGTATAATACAAGAGCATTTATGTTAATAGAATATTCTAAAAAGCATCTTCATATCTGAGTTTCAAGCAATATTGTAGAATTTAAATGAGCACCAAAAATATCTTATATGCCAAATTTACAAAGAAATGTATATTGTAGAATAGGTTTTAAATCCTTCAAAACCTCACTCATTTTGAGAATATAAAAAAGTGCAGAACAACGCAAAGCAATTCACTTACAGTGTAGGAGTTATCAGGCTGATCTCAGTTTTTCACAGCTACTTTATAGGCATAACATAGTGAGGGCACTGTGCACAGTGTTCAGAGAAAAATAATAACCCCCAAATTTTATACTTAGTAAGATACTATTCACATATAAATCACACTAAGATAGTTACAAAGAGAACTAAGAGAATAGAGATTCTTGAAGTGATCAGAAAAATAAAATTATTATGCCCTCTCTCACCACTCCTATTCAACATAGTATTGGAAGTTCTGGCCAGGGAAATCAGGCAAGAGAAAGAAATAAAGGGTACTCAAATAGGAAGAGAGGAAGGCAAATTGTCTCTGTTTGCAGATGACGTGATTCTACATTTAGAAAACCCCATCGTCTCGGCCCAAAATATCCTTAAGCTGATAAGCAAATTCAGCAAAGTCTCAGGATACAAAATCACTGTGCAAAAATCACAAGCATTCCTATACACCAATAATAGACAAACAAAGAACCAAATCATGAGTGAACTGCCATTCACAATTGCTACTAAGAGAATAAAATACCTAGGAATCCAACTTACAAGGGATGTGAAGGACCTCTTCAAGGAGAACTACAAACCACTGCTCAATGAAATAAGAGAGGACACAAACAAATGGAAAAACATTCCATGCTTATGGATAGGAAGAATCAGTATCATGAAAACGGCCATACTGCCCAAAGTAATTTACAGATTCGATGCCACCCCATCAAGCTACCACTGACTTTCTTCACAGAATTGGAAACAACTACTTTAAACTTCATATGGAACCAAAAAAGAGACCGCATAGCCAAGGCAATCCTGGGCAAGAAGAACAAAGCTAGAGGCATCACGTTACCTGACTTCAAACTATACTACAAGGCTGCAGTAACCAAAACAGCATGGTACTGGTACCAAAACAGATATATAGACCCATGGAACAGAACAGAGGCTTCAGAAACAATACCACACATCTACAACCATCTGATCTTCAACAAACCTGACACAAACAAGCAATGGGGAAAAGATTCCCTATTTAATAAATGTTGTTGGGAAAACTGGCTAGCCATATGCAGAAAACTGAAACTGGACCCCTTCCTTATACCTTATACAAAAATTAACTGAAGTTGGATTAAAGACTTAAACCTAAAACCTAAAACCATAAAAACCCTCAAAGAAAACCTGGGCAATACCATTCAGGACATAGGCATGGGCAAAGACTTCATGTCTAAAACACCAAAAGCAATAGCAACAAAAACCAAAATTGACAAATGGGATCTAATTAAACTAAAAAACTTCTGCACAGCAAAAGAAACTATCATCAGAGTGAACAGGCAACCAACAGAATGTGAGAAAATATTTGCAATCTATCCATCTGACAAAGGTCTAAAATCCAGAATCTACAAAGAACTTAAACAAATTTACAAGAAAAAAACAACCCCATCAGAAAGTGGGCAAAGGATATGAACAGACATTTCTCAAAAGAAGACATTTATGCAGCCAACAGTCATATGAAAAAATGCTCATCATCACTGGTCATTAGAGAAATGCAAGTCAAAACCACAATGAGATACCATCTCATGCCAGTTAGAATGGCGATCATTAAAAAGTCAGGAAAAAACAGATGCTGGAGAGGATGTGGAGAAATAAGAACACTTACACACTGTTGGTGGGAGTGTAAATTAGTTCAACCATTGTGGAAGACAGTGTGGTGATTCCTCAAGGATCTAGAACTAGAAATACCATTTGACCCAGCATTCCCATTACTGGGTATATACCCAAAGGATTATAAATCATTCTACTATAAAGACACATGCACATGTATGTTTATTGCAGCACTATTCACAATAGCAAAGACTTGGAACCAACCCAAATGTCCATCAATAATAGACTGGATAAAGAAAATGTGGCACATATACATATGTGGAATACTATGCAGCCATAAAAAGGATGAGTTCATGTCCTTTGCAGGGACATGGATGGAACTGGAAACCATCATTCTCAGCAAACTATCACGTGAACAGAAAACCAAACACTGCATGTTCTCACACATAAGTGGGACTTGAACAGTGAGAACACGTTGACATAGGGAGGGAAACATCACACACCGGGGCCTGTCAGGGGGTGGGAGCCTAGGGGAGGGATAACATATAGGAGAAATACCTAATGTTAGGTATTGGGTGATGGGTAGATGGGTGCAGCAAACCACCATGGCACGTGTATACCTATGTAACAAAACTGCACGTTCTGCACATGTACCCCAGTACTTAAAGTATAATAAAATAATAATAATAATAATAATTTTGAAGGGAAAAATAAAACAAAAGCAAAAAAAAAGAAAAAGAAAATTATTATGGTATTTATCCATCTAATAGTGAAATGCAGTAAAAATGGAAGTTCCAGGTAACATTACACATGGTTGAATCGTAGTAACAGAATATAAGTGTTACACATATTTATAACGCAGGCATAGTAAATGTAGCAAAAATGATGACACTGAGGGAGGAAGGTGAGAGGAAATGAGAGTACTATTTAGACAATACATTAAAAGGTAAGATTTCTTCAAAAATGAATTATCTACACAATAACTCTGAACATTATGGAATATGATAGTTGCTTGTCTCTCATAGTTCTTAACTTTCTATTTACAATGATATCACAAACACTGTTGTTTCTCTGACCATTACAAAGGGTGACAGTTTGTCCTGATAATGGGATTAAGGACAGAAGACAGCTAAATTGTAAATCACTGGAGTCAGGCATGGAAACATTGATAAAACAGTTGGCGAATAAACATATATTTACTTATGTATTTTTCTATATTAAAAAATGCTAAATTATATGTGGATGTGTATATGTATATTTATGTAATATTTATAATTCTTTTGATTTTTTGTAGTTCAATAATCAACCAAGAATTCCAATTATAAATATAATAAAAATTTTATTTAATCAGCTTGTGAATGTATTGTGAGTGATAAACATTTCCACCTGCTACTCAAGAGACTAGACTAATTTCCAGGGCCGATGCAGCTGACTTGCTTCTTTTTACTAGAATTTATCTGACATGATAGAAGGGATTTGGGCTCTGTTGTTCACTACTACATCTCTAATCCCTAGAACAGTGCTAAACATATAAATTGGTGATTAATAGATATTTGTTAACCAAATAATAGTTTTAGTGGCTTCTGTCCTTGTGAGGATTATTTTAAATAAATTATCATACAAAAATCAGATAATGATTCACTTATTTTTCCTTCAAGTTATTTACAATCTTGGCATTTATTTATTCATTTTCGGTATATGGTATGTAATACAGAGATAATTTTACCTGTATTCCAAAGTATCAGCCAATTGATCTAGCTCTATTTACTGACTGAAGTAATATTTATTATGGATTTTGAAATGTCACTCTCATTATACTAAATTCTATTATATACATTCAT
Source organism: Homo sapiens (assembly GCF_000001405.40). Taxonomy (NCBI): domain Eukaryota; kingdom Metazoa; phylum Chordata; class Mammalia; order Primates; family Hominidae; genus Homo; species Homo sapiens. The sequence goes on along the minus strand of NC_000023.11, from coordinate 36,124,933 downwards.
TGTTCTGAGTTCCCTATTGTGTTCAATTCAATTGTGAATATTCCTAAAATTTTAAAATATATATTTTTTATGAATCGAGGGTGGAACAAGATAGCAGAATAAATGGCTCTACTGATCATCCCCCAGCAAAGACACAAATTTAACAACTATCTACACAAAAGAAACATCTTCATAAGAAGCAAAAATGAGGTGAACACTCACAGAACCTGGCTTTAAATTCATATCACTAAAAGAGGCAATAAAGAGGTAGGAAAAACAATCTTAAATTGTGGACACCATCCCTCCCCTAAGCCTTGGCAGTTGCAGTGTGGGGCAGAGAGCATTTCTGTGCACTGGGGAGAGGGATATTGCAGCAATTGTGAAGCACTGAACTCAGTGCTGCCCTGTTATAATAGAAAACAAAACTGGACTGAACTCAGCTGATGACCAGACACAGAGGGAACATATAAACCAAGCATAGCCAGAAGGGAATCACCAATCACAGTGGTCAAAACTTGAGCTTGCACAAGGCTCACCATCACAGACTAAAGTCCTCTTGGACCCTAGGTGAACTTGAAAGGCAATATAGGCCACAAGGACGGGAACTCCCAGGCAAGTCCTAGTGCTGAACCGTACTCAGAGCCAGAAGACTTGGGGGCTGCAACCTATCGAGACACCACTGTAGGCATCACCTCTTCCCTAACCCCATGCTGCATAGCTTTTGTGGCTCCAAAGGAGATTCTTTCCCTCCACCTGAGAAGAGAGGGAAGAGTTGGGAGAACCCTGTCTTGCATCTTCAATACCAGTTCAGGCACAGCAGGATAAGGAACTTTTCAGAGTTGTGAGGTCCTCTTTCTAGAACTCAGCTCCTGGACACTACTTCTAGACACATCCAGAGCCAGAAGGGAACCCACTGCCATGAAAGGAAGGTCCTAGACTTAGCAGGATTCATCAACCACTAACCAAAGAGGCCTTGGGCCCTGAATAACCAGCAGTGATACCCAGGTACAATGTTGAGGAACTTGGATGAGACTCTGAGACTTGCTGGATTCAGGTGAGACTCAGCACATCCCCAGGTGTGGTGGCTATGGGGTAAGACTACTTTCACCTAAGAAAAGCAGAGGAAACAGTAAAGAGACCTCTGTCTTGCACCTTAGACAGTAGCATGACCACAGTGGATAGAGCACCAAGTGGGCTCCTGGAGTCCCCGATTCCAGAACTTGACTTTTGGATGGCATTTCTCAACCTGCTCTGGGACAAAAGGGCACCCACAGTTCTGAAGGGGAAGTCCCAGTCCATGCAGAAGTTACTACAAGCTTACTGAAGAGCCCTTGGGCCTAAAAAAAACATCAGTGGTCTGGCAGTACTCACTGTGAGCCTGTGGTGGTTGTGGCCACAGGGTAAGGCTCCTCTGCCTTCGGAGAGGGGAGGGAAGAGTGGGAAGGACTGTGTCTCATAGTTTTAGTGCCAGCTTAGCTGCAATACAATAGGACACCAGGTAGACTATAAAGGTTTTTGACTTTAGTCCCTGGCTGTTGAACAGCACCCCTGGACACACTTGGGACCTGGGGGAACTCACCACCCTGAAAAGAAGGGAATAATCCTAGATGGCTTTGCCACCTGATGATTGTAGAGACCCAGGACCTTGAGCAAACACAAGCAGTAGCTAGGGAGTGGTTACAGCAGGCCTTGGGTAAGACCCAGTGCTGTGCTCACCACAGTCCTAAGACTGGTAACTACAGAGGTGTCTGTGTCACTACACCCTTAGCTTCAGGTATCTCAGAAAAGAGAACAAGACTTCATTTGCTTGGGAGAAAGTAAAGAAAGAGAACAAGAGTCTCTGCCTGATAATCCAGAAAATTCCTCTGGATTTTGTCCAAGACCATCAAGGCAATACCTCTATGAGTCTGCAAGAACCATAACATTGCTGGGCTTGGGTGCCTCCTAAAGCAGATACAGCTTAGAACATGACATTGAAGTCCTTTTGAGTATCAGGAAAGCTAATCCAAGAAGTATGGGTACAAACAAGCCCAGACTGAGAATAGTACAATAAATGTTAAGAGTTCTTCAACTCCCAGTCACCGAAGAACATATACAAGCATCAACACTATTCAGAAAAACATGACTTCACCAAATGAACTAAATGAATCACCAAGTACAAATCACAGAGAAACACAGATAGGTGACCATTTAGACAGAGAATTCAAAATAGATGCTTTGAGAAAACTCAAAGAAATTCAAGATAATATGGAGAAGGAATTCAGAATTATATCAGGTAAGTTTAACAAATATTAAAATAATTAAAAAGAATCAAGTAGAATTCTGGAGCTGAAACATACAGTTGGCATACTAAAAAATACATCAAAGTCCTTTAATAGCAGAATTGTTCAGCAAAAGAAAGAATTACTGAGCTTGAAGATAGGCTATTTGAATATAAACAGTCAGCAGAGACAAAAGAAAAATGAAAAAAAAGTAGCATGTCTACAAAACGTAGAGAATAACCTCAAAAGGGCAAATCTAAGAGTTGCTGACGTTAGAGAGGAGGTAGAGAAAGAGATACGGGTATAAAGATTATTCAAAGGGATAATAACAGAGAACTTCCCAAACCTAGAGACAGATATCAATATCCAAGTACAAGAAGGCTATAGAACAGCAAACAAATTTAACCCAAAGAAGACTACCCCCAGCAATTTAAAAATCAAACTTCGAAAGATCAAGGATATAGACAGAATCCTAAAAGCAGTAAGAGAAAAGAAACAAATAACATACAATTGTGCTCCAATAAATCAGGCAGTGGACTTTTCAGCAGAAACCTTATAGGCCAGGACAGAGTGGCATGACATATTTAAAGTAATAAAGGGAAAAAGGAAGAAAAACAAAAAAAAACCTTTTGCTCTAGAATAGTATATTCAGCAAAAATGTCCATCAAACATGTAGGAGTAATAGAGTTTATCAGACAAACAAAAGCTTAGGGATTTCATTAACACCATACATGTTCTACAAGAAATGCTAAAAGGAGTAACTCAATCAGAAAGAAGAGGATGTTAATGAACAATAAAAAAATCATCTGATGGTACTAAACAAATTAGTAATAATAAGCATACAGAAAAATGCAGAGTATAATAACATTGTAAGTGGTGTGTAAACTCCACTTTCAATGTATCAAGACTGAATGATGAGCCAATTAAAACTAATAACTACAAAAACATTACAAGACATAGACAGTACTATACAATATAAAAAGAAACAATAAAAAGTTCAGAAGATGGGGAGGGATGAAGTTAAGACATAGAGTTCTTAAGGGCTTTCTTTTGGCTTGTTTGTTTGTTTAGGCAACCAGTGTTAAGTTGTTATCAAGTTAAATAATGGGTTATAAGACAATATTTGCAAGCCTAATGGTAACTTCAAACCAAAAAACATGCAATGGATACACAAAAAATATAAAGCAAAACACTAAATCATATAATCAGAGAAAATCACCCTCGCTAAGAGAAGACCAAAAGGAAAGAAAGAAGAAAGAGAAGACCAAAAAACAACCAGAAAACAAGCAACAAAATGGCAGGAGTAAGTACTTACTTATCAATAATAATATTGAATGTAAATTAATTAAACTCTCCAATCAATACATACAGTGTGGCTGAATAGATAATAAAAAACAATACTCAATGATTTGATGATGAAAAAAACACACTTCACCTATAAAGGTACACATAGACTAAAATTATAAAGGGGTGGAAAAAATATTCCATGCCAATGGAAACCAAAAATGAGCAAGAGTCCCTATACTTACATCAGACAAAATAGATTTCAAGACAAAAACTATCAGAAGACAAAGAAGGTCACTATATAATGATAAATTGGTCAATTCAGCAAGAGGCAAAAAAATTGTAAGTATATATGCACCAAACACTAGAGCACCCAGATATGTAAAGCAGATGTTATTAGAGCTTAAGAGAGAGATATAACCCAATATAATAACAGCTGGAGACTTCAACACCCCACTTTCAAGCTTTGACAGCTCTTCCAGACAGAAAATCAACAAAGAAACATCAGACTTCATCTGCACTATAGACAAAATGGACCTAATAGACAGTTACAGAACATTTACTCTGAAGGCTACAGAATACACATTGTTTTCCTCAGCACATGGATCATTCTCAAAAACAGATTATATGTTAGGGCACAAAAAGCCTTCAAACTTTAAAAAAAAAAAATGAATCATATCAAGCATCTTCCCTGAACACAATGGAATAAAATGAGAAAGGAATAATGAGATAAATTTTGGAAACTATACAAATACATAGAAATTAAACAATATGTTTTCAATGACCAGTGGATTAATGGAGAAATTACAAAGGAAATTGAAAAATTTCTTGAAATAAATTATAATGGAAACAACATACCAAACCTAGGGGATACATCAAAAATAGTAGTAACGGAGAATTTCATAGCTGCAAGTGCCTGCCTTAAAAACAGGAAAACTTAAAATAAACAACCTAACGATGCATACTAAAAAACTAGAAAAGCAAGAGCAAAACAAGCCTAAAATTAGTAGAAAAAGAGAAATAATCAAGATCATAGCAGAAATAAATTCATTCAAAATGAAGAAAATAAAACAAAAGATCAACAAAATAAAAAGGCAATGTGGGCTGGGAGTGGTGGCTCATGCCTGTAATCCCAGCACTTTGGGAGGCCAAGGTGGATGGATCATGAGGTCAGGAGATTGAGACCATCCTGGCTAACATGATGAAACCCCGTCTCTACTAAAAATACAAAAAAAAAAAAATTACCTGGGTGTGGTGGCAGGCACCTGTAGTCCCAGATACTCGGGAGGCTAAGGCAGGAGAATGGCATGAACCTGAACCTGGGAGGCGGAGCTTGCAGTGAGCCAAGATCATGCCACTGCACTCCAGCCTGGGCAACAGAGCGAGATTCCATATCAAAAAAAAAAAAAGCTGATGTGTTGAAAAGGTAAACAAAATTGACAAACCTTTAGACAGACCATCTAAGAAAAAAAGAGAGAAGAAAGAAAGAAGAGATGAAAAAGTAGACATTACAACTGATACCACAACAACTCAAAAGATCATTAGAAGACACTATGAGCAACTATATGCCAATAAATTGGAAAATCTAGAAGGAATGGACAAATTCCTTGACACATATAACCTACCAACTTTAAACCGTGAAGATATCCAAAACTTAAATAGACCAATAACAAGTAACATGAATGAAGCCATAATAAAAAGTCTCCCAGTATTGAAAAGCCCAGAACCTGATGGATTCACTGTTGTATTCTACCAAACACTTAAAGAACTAATATCCATCTTATTTAAATTATTCTGAAAAACTGAGGAGGATGGAATAATTCCAAACTCATCCTACAAGGCCAATACTACCCTGATATCAAAACCAGAGAAAGACACATCAAGAAAAGGAAACTACAGGCCAATAAATCTCATGAATATTGATGCAAAAATCTTCAACAAAATGCTAGCAAACTGAATTCAAGAATACATTAAAAACAGCATTAATCATGACCAAGGAGGATTTATCCCTGGGATGTAAGGATGGTTCAACATATGCAAATCAACAAATGTGATACACCATATCAACAGAATAAAGAATTAAAAAAATACCATTTCAATTGATGCTGAAAAAGCATTTGATAAAATTCAACATCCCTTATAAAAACCCTCAAAAAGCTGAGTATAGAAGGGACATAACATAATAACAGCTACATATGACAGACCCGAAGCTAGTATCATACCAAATGGGGAATAACTGAAAGCCTTTCCTCTGATGTATGGAACACAACAAGGATACTCACTTTTAGCACTGTCATTCAACAAAGTACTGTAAATCCTAGCTAGGGTAATCAGACAAGAAAATAAAGTAATAAGCATCCAAATTGGTAAAGAAAAAGTCAAATTATCCTTGTTTGAAGATGATATGATCTTACATTTGGAGAAACCTAAAGATTCCTCAAAAAAACTATTAGAATGAAAAACAAATTCAGTAAACTTGCAGACTACAAAATCAACAAGTACAAATCAGTAGCATTTCTACATGCCAATAGCAAACAATCTGAAGGAGAAATAAAAACAGTAATATCATTTACAATAGCCACAAATAAAATTAAATACCTAGGAATTTCCTTAACTAAAGATGTAAAATGTTTCTAGCATGGGCGCGGTGGCTCACACCTGTAATCCCAGCACTTTGGGAGGCCGAGGCAGGTGGATCACAAGGTCAGGAGATCAAGACCATCCTGGCTAACACGGTGAAACCCCATCTCTACTAAAAATACAAAAAAATTAGCCGGGCATGGTGGCGGGTGCCTGCAGTCCCAGCTACTCAGGAGGGAGGCTGAGGCAGGAGAATGGTGTAAACCCGGGAGGCAGAGCTTGCAGTGAACCAAGATCACGCCACGGCATTCCAGCCTGGGTGACAGAGCAAGACTCCATCTCAAAAAAATAAATAAATAAATTAATTAAAAGATGTAAAATGTCTCTATAATGAAAATGATAAAGCATTTTTGAAAGAAATTGAAGATGACATAAAAAAATGGAAAGATATTCCATGTTCATGGGTTGGGGAAATAAATATCTTTTAAATGTCCATACCACCCAAAGCAAACTACAGATTCCATGCAACCCCTATGAAAATACCAAGGGCATTCTCCAAATAAAAAGAAAAAACAATTCTAAAATTTCTAAAATTTCTAAAAGACCCAGAATAGCCAAAGTTATACTAAACAAAATGAACAAAACTGGAAGAATCACATTATCTGACTTCAAATTATACTACAGAGCTATAGTAACCAAAATGGCATGGTATTGGCATAAAAACTGACACATAGTCCAAGGGAACAGAATAGAGAACCCAGAAACAAATCCACATATCTACAGTGAGCTCATTTTTGAGAAAGGTGTTAAGAAGATACACTGGGGAAAAGAGAGTCTCTTCAATAAATGGTTCTGAAAAAAGTGGATATCTATATGCAGAAGAATGAAACTTGGACCAATCTCTTTTCGTATATAAATATCAAATCAAAATGGATTAAAGACTTAAATCTAAGACCTCAAACTATAAAATTACTACAAAAAAACTTAAGGAAAACTGTAGAATGCTGATCTGTGTCAAAATTTCTTTATTAATACCCCACAATCACAGGCAACCGAAGCATAATGGACAAATAGAATCATATTAAGTAAAAAAGCTTCTGCACAGCAAAGAAAATAATTCACAAAGTGAAGAGACAACCCACAGGATGAGAGAAAATGTTTGAAAAATACCCATCTGTTAAGGGATTAATAACCAGAATATATAAGAAGCTCAAACAACTCTATAAGAAAAATGGAATAATCCAATCAAAAAATGGGCAAAAGGTTTGAATAGGCATTTCTCAAAAGAAAGCATACAAATGGCAAACAGAAAATGTGTTCAATATCATTGATCATCAGAGAAATGCAAATCAAAACTATGAGACATCATCTCACCCCAGTTAAAATGGCTTTTATCCAAAAGTCAGATTCTAACAAATGTTGGCGAGGATGTGGAGTAAAGGGAATCCACCTACACTGCTGGTGGGAACGTAAATTAGTACAATCACTATGGAGAACAGTTTGGAAGTTCATTAAAACCCTAAATATTGAGCTACCATATGATCCAGCAATCCCACTGCTGGATATATACCCAAAACAAGGAAAACCAATATATCAAAGAGATATCCGCACTCCCATGTGTGTTTTAGCTCTGTTCGCAACAGCCAAGATTTGGAAGCAAATTAAGTGCTCATCAAGAGATGAATGAATAAAGAAAATGTGATACATATACACAATGGAGAACCATTCAGTCATAAAAAGAACAAAGTCTTGTGATTTACTAAAACATAGATGGAACTGGAGGTCACTGTGTTAAGTGAAATAAGCCAGGCACAGAAAGACAGACTTTGCATGATCTCAGTTATTTGTGGGAGTTGCAATCTGAAACAATTGAACTCATGGGACTATAGAGTATAAGGATAGTTACCAGAGGCTAGGGAGAGTAGTGGAGGAGTGGGAGGGAAGTGGGGAGTGTTAATGGGTACAAAAATAGTTAGAAAAAATTAATAAGACCTAGTATTTACTAGCACAACAGGGTGACTATAGTCAAAAATAATTTAGTTGTACATTTAGAAATAACTCTAAGAATATAATTGGATTGTTTGTGACACAATGGATAAATGCTTGAGGTGATGGATACCCCATTATATAATTAACACATATTGCATGCCTGTATCAAAATATCTTATGTAACCCATAAATATATACACCTACTGTGCACTCACAAAAACTAAAAATAAGAAAAAGGCTAATTTAATGCTATTCCACACTGCTTTAAAATGTCCACTAAACAAAAAATTCTGAACCAGCTAATCAGTTTATTCTCTGACTAATTCTTGGTATGCCCAACTGGCATCTCACCAAAACACCTAAGCTCGTTAACTATTATATATTTAAACGTATTGTAAGGAAATGTATATTGAAATTCGAACCACACCCAGCAATAAAAAGAATGAAATCATGTCCTTTGCAGGAACGTGGATGGAGCTGGAGGCCATTATGCTAAGTGAACTAACTTAGAAACAGAAAACCAAATACCACGTGTTCTCACTTGTAGTGGGAGCTAAACAATGGGTGCACATGGATATAAAGATAGAGATAACAGACACTGGAGACTCAAAAAGGGTTGAGAGTGGGAGGAGGTCAAGGATTGTAAAATTATCTATTGGATACAATGTTCACTATTTGGGTAATAAGCACACCAGAAGCCCAATCCCCACTGGTATGCAATATATTCATGTCACAAAAATGCACAAGTCCCCTCTGAATCTAAAATAAAATTAAATTTAACTCAAAAAAGAAACTGCAACGGTTACAGTGTGAAAAAATGTCTAACATACTACTTGGTCTATTTCAAAACAAATAACTTGATAGGAGAGAGAAAGAGATGGGTTGATTTATTCAAACTATAAAGAAAAGTTGAGAGTTCAGAGAGTTATTTACTCTTTATCTCCAGATGAAAAACTACAGATTTATGTCCTATTAGATGCAGTTATTCTTCTGAAATATCTGTGATGAATCAATTTTTGTGAGGAGAGATGTATTTTCAGTGCACAGGAATGCTATGGAAATGGCTCTAGTAAAGGTAATAAACATTCCAATTTTATATCTGTTAGCTATTTTCATATATAAATCCACAGTTTAAATATCAGCTTTTAAAAAAACCTAATTTTGTCCATAACTGTATCCTGTTCCTCCCTCCATACATAGGAAACTTCAAAATAAATAAATGATGAAGTTCATAATGGTCATGCCACCCTCCAGTTTCACCTGCCTGAATCTCTGGAAGGTCCCAGTGCTTGATTAGCATAGTACATATTATGTCAAATTTTAATACAATAACTTCTCATCACAGACACTATGGTGATGTAGTACCTTGCCAAACAATATTGACTTGTTTGATTTTTATTATCCTCATAAATATTTTTAACATTAGAAATAAAAACTCTCTACAGATGTTTATTTGACAATAATGTTCCAAGTGTTGTGATAAATAATATGAGTAAAGAGCTTACCATAGAACCACTTAGTAAATATTCAATATTTTTGTGATTATGATTTTTTATTTTTGCTAATAATAAACTAGAAAAACCTCTGCAATAAAGGACTTAAATTACTATGGGAGAGAGAAACAAGTAGAAACAAATGTGAAAACCATATGACAAACACTTTAATAAGCTTACATAAAGTATGTTACAAGACAAGGAAGATGTATTCCATCTAGTCTTGGGGAGATTGTGGAAAGGTTTCCTAGAAGAGCTGATGTCTATAATGAGACTTGAATTGTGAGGATAAGGAGACACTGAAAAGAGATTCCAGACAAAGCAAAAAGTACTATAAAATTTAAATGCAGAAAGAAGCAGACAGAGTCACCAGTAGGGGCCTCCTTGCACTCCAAAGCCAAGTTGCCTCCACCACTGGAGTGAACACTTGCATGAAGGCAGGAATCCCAGCACCCACTAGCACCCTAATGCAGCTGATATGCATGCACCCCATCGTGCTGCTGCTGGCACGTATAAATTAGGAAGGATCCTGTTGCCACTGCACTATGAAAGCCTTCAGCCAACACTACTCACCAGAGTGTAGTGACCAGCAGTCTGGGAGCACCTCATCCTCCACCCCCACCCAGTGCAGTCCATTCCTAAACTCGAGGAGCCAGAGAACAAAGTCAGGGCCTGGCACATATTCCCCAGAGTTAGAGCACGCAGTCTAGGAGTAGAGAGCTGAGCGCTGGCCTTCTAAAATCTTCCAGAAATGAAGCCAATCAGCTGAATCCACCTTATACCACAATCAAACTCTCAAGGTCATAAAATAAGATAAAAGAAAAAAGAAAAAACACCCAAAGGTGAGCCACTCTAAAGGCTGAAGAAACATCATCCCACAAAAATTTGAAAGAACCAGTTCAAGAACTCTGACAACTCAAAAAGCCAGAGTGCCTTCTTTCCCCAAACTACTGCATCACTTCTCAAGGATTATGAACCAGGCTGAGTTGGCTGAAATGACAGAAATAGAATTCAGAGATGGATAGGAATAAGGATCATGGAGATGCAGGAGTATGTTGAAACACAATCCAAGGAAACTAGGACTCATAATAAAGTAATACAGGAGCTGACTGACAAAATAGGCAGTATAGAAAAGAATGTAATCGACGTCATAGAGCTTAAAAACATACTACAAAAATTTCATAATGCAGTCACAAGTATTAATAGCACAATAGACAATGCTATAAAGAAAATCTCAGAGCTTGAAGACTGGCTTTCTGAACTAAGACAGTCAGACTTGGGAGGCCAAGGCGGGCAGATCACGAGGTCAGCAGATCGAGACCATCCTGGCTAATGCGGTGAAACTCCATCTCTACTAAAAATACAAAAAAATTAGCTGGGCATGGTGGTGGGCGCCTATAGTCCCAGCTACTCAGGAGTCTGAGGCAGGAGAATGGTGTGACCCCAGGAGGCAGAGCTTGCAGTGAGCCGAGATCGTGCCACTGCATTCCAGCCTGGGCGACAGAGCGAGACTCCAAAAAAAAAAAAAAGACAGACAAGAATAGAGAAAAACATATTTAAAGGAAGGAACAAAACATCCAAGAAATATGGGATTATATAAAAAGACCAAATCTATGATTCACTGGTGTCCCTGAAAGAGACAGGGAGAACGTAAACAACTTGGAAAACATATTTCAGGGTATCATCTATGAGAACTTCTCCAACCTAGCTAGAGAGGCCAACATTCAAATTTAGGGAAGGCAGAGAACTTCAGTAAGGTACTTCACAAGAAGGTAATCCACAAGACACATAATTGTCAGATTCTCCAAGGTCAAAATGAAAGAAAAATTGTTAAAGGCAGCTAGTGAGAAAGGTCAGGTCACCTACAAAGGGAAGCCCATTACACTAACAACAGACATCTCAGCAGAAACCCCACAAACCAGAAAAGATGGGGGGCCAATATTCAATATTCATAAAGAGAAGAAATTCTAACCCAGGATTTCATATCTGGCCAAATTAACTTTATAAGCAAAGGAGAAATAAGATCCTATTCAGACAAGCAAATGTTGGAATTTGTTACCACCAGACCTGCCTTACAAGAGCTCCTGAAAGAAGCACTAAATATAGAAAGAAAAGACCTTTACCAGCCATTACAAAAGCACATGTAAGTACACAGACCAGTGACACTATAAAGCAACCACACAAACAAGTCTGCATAATAACCAGCTAACATCATGATGACAGGATCAAAGCCACACATATCAATACTAACCTTGAATGTAAGAGGGCTATACGCCCCAATTAAAAGGCACAGAGTGGCAAGCTGGATAAAGAACCAAGACCCATTGGTATACTGTCATCAAGAGACTCATCTCATATGCAATGACACCCATAGTCTCAAAATACATGGATGGAGAAAAATCTACCAAGCAAATGGAAAACAAAAATAAAAGTAGGGGTTGCAATCTACATCTCAGACAAAACCAAAGCAGATCAAAAGAGACAAGGAAGGGCATTACATAATGGTAAAGGGTTCAATTCAACATGAATGCCTAACTATCCTAAATTAATATACACCCAACACAGGAGCACCTAGATTAATAAAGCAAGTTCTTAGAGACCTTCAAAAAGACAAACTCCCACACAATAATAGTGGGAGATGTTAACAACTTACTAGTAGTATTAAACAGATCATCAAGACACAAGATTAACAAAGATATTCAGGACCTGAACTCAGCACTGGATCAAATGAACCTGACAGACATCTACAGAACTATCCACCCAAAAGCAACAGGGTATACATTCTTCTAATTGCCACATGACACATACTCTAAAATCGATCACATAATTGGACACAAAACACGCTTCAGCAAGTGCAAAATAGCTGAAATCATAACAACCACTTCTTGGACCACAGAGTAATAAAATTAGAAATCAAGACTTAAAAATTCACTCAAAACCATATAATTACATGGAAATTGAATAACCTGATCCTGAATAACTTTTGGGTGAATAATGAAATTAAGGCAGAAATCAAGAAGTCCTTTGAAACTAATGAGAAAAAAGATACAACATACCAGAATCTCTGGGAAACATCTAAGGCAATGTTAAAAAGAAAATTTATAGCACTAAATGCCCACATGAAAAGTTAGAAACATGTCGATTTAACCACCTAACATGACAATTAAAAGTACTAGAGAGTCAAGAGCAAACAAACCCCAAAACTATCAGAAGACAAGAAATAACCAAAATCAGAACTGAACTGAAGGAAGGAGATTGAGGCACAAAAAACCATTCAAAAGATGAACAAATCCAGGAGTTGAGTTTGTGAAAAAACAATGAAATAGACCATTAGCTAGAATAATAAAGAAGACAAGAGAGAAGATCTGAATAAACACAATTAGAAATTACAAAGGGTATCAGTCACCCCATAGAAATAAAAATAATTATCAGAGAATATTATGAACACCTCTAAGCACATAAACTAGAAAATCTAGAATACATGGATAAATTCCTGGACACAGACACCCTCCAAAGACTGACCTAGGAAGATATTGAATCCCTGAGCAAACCGATAATGAGCTCCAAAACTGAATCAGAAATAAATAACCTACCAGCCACAAAAAGCCCAGGACCAAATGGATTCACAGCCAAATTCTACCAGATGTATGAATAAGAGCTGGTATCATTTCTACTGAACTTATTCCCCAAAATTGAGAAGGAAGCCCTCCTCCCTAACTCATTCTATGAGTCCAGCATCATCCTGATACCAAGCCTGGCAGAGACACAACAACAACAAAAAAATGAAATCTTCAGGCCAATATCCTTGATGAACATCGATGCAAGAATCCTCAACAAAATACTGGCAAACTGAATTCAGCAGCATGTCAAAAAGCTAATCTACCATGATCAAGTAGTCTTTATCCCTGCAACATAAGATTAATTCAATGTATGCAAATAAAAATATGTGATGAATCACATAAACAGAACTAAATAGAAAAAGTGCATGATTATCTTAATAGATGCAGAAATGGCTTTCAATAAAACTCAGCATGACTTCATGTCAAAAACTCTCAATAAACTGGGTATGGAAGGAACATACCTCAAAATAGTAAGAGCTCTCTATATTAAACCCACAGCCAATATCATACTGAATGGGCAAAGGTGGAAGCATTCCTTTTGAAAACCAGCACAGATGAAGTATGCCCTCTCACTAGTCCTATTCAACATAGTATTGGAAGTCCTAGCCAGAGCAATTGGGCAAGAGAAAGAAATAAAGGATATCCAAATAGGAGGAAAGGAAGTCAAATCTTTCCTGTTTCCAGACAACACGATTCTATATGTAAAAAACTCCTTAGTCTCAACCCAAAAACTCCTTATGCTGATAAACAACTTAAGCAAAGTCTCAAGACACAAAAGGAACATACAGAAAAATCACTAGCATTTCTAAACACCAACAACAGTCAAGCAAGAGCCAAATCAGGAATGTAATCACATTCACAATTGTCACAAAAAGTATAAAACACCTAGGAATAACAAGGAAGGTGAAAGATCTCTACAAGGAGAATTACAAAACACTGCTCAAAGAAATCAGAGATGACACCAACAGATGGAAGAATCATTCCATGCTCATGGATAGGAAGAATCAATATTGTGAAAATGACCATATGACCCAAAGCAATTTATACAATCAATGCTATTTCTATAAAACTACCAATGGCATTCTTCACAGAACTAGAAATAACTATTTTAAAATTCATATGGAACCAAAAAAGATCCCAAATTGCCAAGGCAATCCTAAACAAAAAGAACAAAGCTGGAGGCTTCACTGTATCCAACTTCAAACTATACAAAGGGGCTACAGTAACAAAAAGGGGATGACTGGTACAAAAACAGATACATAAACCAATGGAACAGAATAGAGGTCAGACATAAGGTCGCACACCTACAACTATCTAATCTTTGACAAAATTGACAAAAAAAGCAATGGGGAAAGGACTCCCCATTCAATAAATACTGACAGAATAACTGGCTAACCATATGCAGAAGATTGAAACTGGACCCCTTCCTTACACTATATATAAAAATTAATCCAAATTGTATTAAAAAGTTAAATGTAAAACCCAAAAGTATAAAAACCCTGGAGGACAACTTTGGCACTACCATTCTTCATGTAGAAATGAGAAAAAATTTCATGACAAAGACACCAGAAGCAATTGCAACCAAAGAAAAAATTGACAAATGGGATCTGTTTAAGCTAATAAGCTTTTGCACAGCAAAAGAAACTACCAACAGAGTAAACGGACAACCTACAGAATGGGAGAAAAGTTTTGCAATCTATGCACCTGACAAAGGTCTAATATAAGGAATATAAGGTCATCTATAAGGAACTTAAATTTACAAGCCAAAAAGAAACAACCCATTAAAAAGTAGGCAAAGGACATGAACAGACACTTTTCAAAAGACATACATGCAGCCTAGAAGCATATGAATAAAGCTTAACATCACTGATCATTAGAGAAATGCAAATAAAGACCACAGTGCAATACCATCTCACACGAGTCAGAATGGCTCTTATTAAAAAGTCAAAAAGTAGGCTGGGCGCGGTGGCTCAGGCCTGCAATCCCAGCACTGTGGGAGGCCGATGTGGGTGGATCACGAGGTCAGGAGATGGAGACCATCCTGGCCAACATGGTAAAACCCCGTCTCTACTAAAAATACAAAAATTAGCTGGGCGTGGTAGCGTGTGCCTGTAATCCCAGCTACTCAGGAGGCTGAGGCAGGAGAATCGCTTGAACCCGGGAGGTGGAGGTTGCAGTGAGCCAAGATTGTGCCACTGCACTCCAGCCTGGTGACAGAGCTAGACTCCATCTCAAAAAAATAAAAAATAAAAAAATATAGTCGAAAAGTAACAGGGGCTTGAGAGGTTGCAGAGAAAAAGGTACACTTATAAACTGTCGCTGGGAGTGTAAATTAGTTCAACCATTGTGGAAGACAGTGTGGTGATTCCCCAAAGACCTAAAAATGGAACTACCATTCAACCCAGCAATCTCATTATTGGGTATATACCCAAGGAATATGATTTGTTCTATCATAAAGACACATGCAGGTATATATTCATTGCAGCACTGTTCACAATAGCAATGACATGCAATCAACCTACATGCCTATCAACGGTAGACTGCATAAACAAAACATGGCACATACACACCATGGAATAATATGTAGCCAGAAGAAAGAATGAGATCATGTCCTTTGCAGGAACATGGATGGAACTGGAGGCCATTAACCTTAGCAAACTAATGAAGGAACAAATATGACATGTTCTCACTTTAAAGTGGGAGCTAAATGATGAGAACACATGGACACATAGAGGGGAACAGCAGACACTGAGGCCTACAGGAGGGTGGAGGATGGGAGGAGGGAGAGCATCAGAAGAAATAACTAATAGGTACTAGGCTTAATACCTGGATGATGAAATAATCTATACAACAAACCCCCGTGACATGAGTTTACCTATATAACAAACCTGAACATGTACCCATGAACTTAAAATAAAAGTGAAAAAAAAAAAAAAAGGAAGCAGCAGCCAATCAATAGTTTACAGCGCTGAAGTATAATGTGCAAAAGTCAATGTAAAGAGTTATGGTTATAAGGTATGGTAGATATTGAAGTGAATAAAATACCATTAAAGGATTTTAGGCAGGAGTCTGATGCTAAAATTTGTGTTTTATGAAGAACTAAGTATGGCTGTGTGAGCAACAGATGGGCAAATGGCAGGACTGGATGTGGTAAATATGAGAGGGTGACATTGATTGAAATGATAAATTACAAAAGTGACAGAAGAGCTAGAAAAAAGTAGGTAGATTCAGAAGATAACTTGTGGATAGAATCAAAATAAATTGTTGGTTGGTGATTAATTAGATGTAAGAAGGAGGGATGCCTAGATTTTTGACCAGTGAAATTTGAGGTGCTTATGGGACATTTTAATGAAGGTGTTCATAAGGAGAAAGATATACAGAACTGGAGGTGAGGAGGTAGGTCTGAGGTAGATTTGGATCTGGGAGGCATTGGAAGAGTAACTTAAAACCACAAGAGGATATAGATGGCCAAAATGTGGAGGTTTGGAGCAAAGACAGAAGAAGGAAAATATCAATGTGATGAAGGAAAGAGACCTTGAACAGAGAATGCTAAGGAGGGTCTTGAGAGCCACAAAGAAAGCCAAAATGCTTTAGCTAGCATACAAGGGCAAGACAGGAAATCTGAGGAAAAATGGTGTCTGTATATCAGAGGGTAGAGGAAATGCCTCCCTTTGAATCTGAACAACTCTAATGCTCAAAAAGCTTGTAATTTTTAAGCAGAAGTCACAGTGAGCAGTATCTTCTGGAAACACTCATAGTTAAAATTCAAGTGTTTATTCCCTGAATGGTCAAGGGAAAAATAAATAAATAGAGATTGAAGGAGAGGTGTAAGGCACGTAAAGGAAGATATTGAAAAGAAAAGAGACGTAAGAAAAAGGTAATATAGAAATAAGAATCTTAGGTAAATAGCAAGATTGAGGAAAGTAATGTGGCAAAAAGAAAGAATGTTATATATGGTAATAAATGAAGGAAAATAGTAACAGAGGAGAAGAGAGAATGTATAAGATGAGAAGAACAAAGCCAAGACAAGAGTGCACATCAGCACATCAACACAAAATAAGTCTGTATAGAACACTGTTTATAGGTTAATTATATCCTCAAGGGAAAAAGTATAATATTTGATACAATAATAAGCTGTTGGCTTGTCTCTGTTCCTGTCAGATGTTCAGCTTTTCAACTAGTTTTAAATACTTGAACATCTTTTCAACTTCTTTTGGCTTTATCTATATAACCATCCATTTAGCCATTGATTTATTTAAGAGATATTTATTCAGCACCTTCAACGTGCTCACATAGGATTTAAAGCTTGGTGCGGAGCTTACAGATATTTGCTATATTAATATTTTAGAAAATATGAGTTGTATCTAACATTATTAAAGACTTGAAATTTAGATCAATGATTACCTAAAACACACAAATAATTTTACATAAATTGCAATGGACTGAAGTTTATGAATTTTCTGAAGGACTTTTTTACTGTACAGGTCATCAGAGCAATGGATTCATATTTATTAGACATATTGCTTAATGAGTCTAACAATGGAATTGTTATTTTTTGCTTTAAAAATGTATTACTAAATTATTTTTAAATAGACAGTTTTTTAAAGCATTATCAGGTTTGTAGCAAAATGAATCAGAAGTTACAGAGAGTTACCACACACACACAATCCTCCCCCACTATCAACCTTTTGCACTGCAGTGGTGCATTTATTACAACTGATGAACCTACATTAACAAACCATTATCACCCAAAGTTCACAGTTTACATCAGGGCCCACTCTTAATATTATACATTCTATGGGTTTTAACAAATGTATAATGACATGTATTCATAATTATAGTATCAAACAGAGTAGTTTCACTACCTTAAACGTCCTGTGTACTCTACCTATTCATCACTCCTTCCCCGCTAACCCCTAGTATCCACTGATCTTTTTCCTGTCTCTATGGTTTTACATTTTCCAGAAAGTCATATAGTTGAAACCGCACAGTATGTAGCCTTTTCAAATTGGCTCCTTTTACCTAGTAATACATCTATAAGTTTACTCCATGTCTTTTCATGCCTTGATAGCTCACTTCATTTTACTGCTGAATAATACATTGTTCTTTGATGGAGGGAGTTTATCTCTTTTGTGCCTTCTGCCACGTGAGGACACAGTGTTCCTCTTGTTTGGAGTGTGCATCGTCTAGGCACCATCTTGGAAACAGACAGCAGCCCTTATCAGACATAGAACCTGCCAGTACCTTAATCTTGGACTTCTCAGCCTTTAGATCTGTGAAAGATAAATTTCTGATCTTTATAAATTACCCAGTCTATGGTATTCTGTTATACCAGGACAAAGCTAAGACAGTATGTGTCTGTTATTTTGTTAGGCACAGTTCTAGGCTTTGGGAATAAATGAGACAAGATTGTTCCTTGGCTAATTAAGAAGGTCACATTCCTAATTAGTCAAAGAGCAATCTTGTCTAATTTATTCAGAAGGTGACATTCTACTGGAAGAGACAGATGATAAACAAATACATTTATGTTTACAATTACATTTATATTTAAAAAGTGCTGCTGAGAATAAAAATAGAGCAGGAAAGAGTAGGACTGAAGGATATCCTGTTTTAGAGAAGATATTGATAAACCTTCTCAGATAAGGTGACATTTAATCAATGACTCGAATGAAATGAGAAAGGGAACCATGAAGATATCTGGTAAAATAATAGTCTAGTCAAAGGGAACAGGAAGCACAAAAGCTTTGTAAAGGCATTGGACTCAGTGTGCTAAAAAACAGCAAGGAGGTAAATGTCTATAATATATTATTTGGGAAAAATGTGGCAAAATCTTTGAAATTAACTGGCATAGGCCACTGTTTTGGTAAAATTAGAACCATAATACTTTTATAACAAATTAACACGTTAATTTTTAATACATGCACATATTTTATGACACCCTGGTCAAAGTGTTACTCTGCAATAATCAAACTAATTTTTATGTGTTTTTGTGTAGTTCACCTTAGCATTATTTATTTGTACTTTGTTTTGTATTTTAATGGGGCAAATATATTTTTATAAGATAAATTTTGATATTTTCAGCATGTCAATTAGAAGGTAATAAAGTATTCTATGTTTGCTGTTCTCAAATACCAACATGTCAATATATCTTTTTCAATCTTGGTGTTTTCTTGAATGTTTTCTAAAATAACACCTTCAATTTAAGGGCAATCATAATTCAAAGTCTCATTTTTAAACTGAACTCTTAATCTTCCCCTTACTTGTAAAGTTTGAATTAAATTCTGCATATTGGATATTAAAAAGTTATTTCATGTTAAAAAACAGTCTACTTTGAACACAATAGGTTTGTATGTACTTGGAAGAAAGGAGTTGAATTGAAGCTAAAGGAACAATGGCCATGCGCACTGTCCTTAGTACTATCTGTGAACACCAACATGTCTCAGCACCACACTGTATAATTTACAAGAGGCTTATGACTCGGTTAAAAAAACTGCATTTTAAGGACAGTTCTGTTAGAATGTAAATTCATCTAAAACACAAGGATGTGAAATGACTTTATTTCATTGTGAAATACCTAATATGACCTACCCTCCAAAGAATTCATGAAGCATTATTGCTCTTAGTGATTTCCAACATGATCCTCATATGACATGTGAAATTTTTTCTAGGAGATTTTACTTGATCTCGACTAGTTATATACTAAGTTTGAGCAGTGTCACCTATATATTTAATACTCTATACAGTTGAAAATGTCAGCAATGATTAATGCTTTCATTCTAGAGTTCCTCCATATGCTTTTAAAATCAGTTATTCTTCAAAATAAGTTAAAGAAGCACCTTTTATTATTTCCATTTTATATGTGAGGAAACATATCTTGAAGATGTTAAGGAGGCATTATTTTTGTAGAACAGAAAGTAAATGTTGGAGAGGGGTCTAGAATCCATGGATTCTGAGTTGATTGTGTATCCATGGCTCCTTCTCCATCATCACACTACAATTTGCAATAATTTGTTTAAAGAAAAATATCACTTCTCACCTTTGTGACAGTTTTTCCATATCACATGTCGAGTATTCTCATAATTTATGTTCATCCAACTAAGCAAAATTCTTTCAGAATCAGAATATATGTTGCTGGATGCAAAACAAGGATTGACTTTTGGTGTATTTTGCACACATATGGGGGGCATATTATTGCTGCAGTATGGCACTACACGGGATAGAACCAAAACCTGAAATTGGGAGAGATAACTTTTATTAGATGCAAATGGAAAAATAGCAAATTAATATTTGAAGAGAAAATTTTAAAAAACATGACAGGAGATTAAAGAGGGCACTAGTATTTTCTGGTTAAATGGATTCAATCAGAAGTAAAAGAGTAGAACAGATGTGTCCCAATAATGCTCATTT
Organism: Homo sapiens; assembly: GCF_000001405.40. Lineage (NCBI taxonomy): Eukaryota > Metazoa > Chordata > Mammalia > Primates > Hominidae > Homo > Homo sapiens. The sequence goes on along the minus strand of NC_000023.11, from coordinate 36,104,320 downwards.
TAAATTGACAACTTTTTGCTTCTGTGGTATTTAGTCTTAAGGAACTACACTGTATAATTTACAAGAGGCTTATTGTACATTTAAAACATAACTGCATTTAAGAACATTTCTGTTAGGATGTAAATTCATTTAAAACACAAGGATGTAAGATGCCTTTCTTATTTCCTTACCAGCTCATGCAGCTTAGAAAAGCCAAAGTAAAAGTAAATAAGTTAACAAGCCAAAAATTATTTTCTTACATTTATTTAAGAGGTCTGTTTTAAGATGATAAAAGTGTACACAATTTGTCATTTGACCTATTGTTACCCTATAACTTAAAGTGTGGTATATTCACATCATATCACCATTCACTACATGTACACCACATGTTTTATTAGGTAGCAATGCAACTGGATTTAAAAATAATTTTAGCGATATTAAGATGAAAAGAACTCTGTGTCTGTCAGTAAAGTACTATAGTACAGAGCTACTCAAAGTAACACTCTACTAACCATTGTCTACAAGTTCTAGATGAGATGAACAGCTTGTGATCTGCTACCTCACTATATATATCTCAAGAGTTTCCGAATGGAGCATTGGTTCACATTAAAGTACACAGTGTAAGCTCAGCTCCTTGATTTATCCCAAACCTTTAATAGATGGTTTTCCAGTGGTATGGGTATGAACACAACAATTTGAGTCATATGTGCTATAAAGATACTATTGATACCCTGCTCATATCTCCTTAGTTCCACCTTTACATTCTGAAGCTTGCTTATTGTGAAAACCTGTAAGTCTCTGCTTGAGGGATGTTTTTTTTTTTTTTTTTTTTTTTTTTTTCTGGCATATGAGAGCACACTCAGCTCACAGAGGGCAAGGTAGGAGCGCCAGAAGATAATGACCCCAGCAACGGCCCCTTACCAAAGATGGTCAGGGAATTGGTAGTTAATTACTCCAGATTCCTCACTAGTCAGTTGAGATAAGTCTGAGACATGTTCTAAAATGTATCCTATTGGTCCCCAGTGGCATTGAGCTTCAGTTGCCCACAGCGAAACCTGATTGAAACCACAACTGTTACTGACTTCATTATATTATCTGCTTTAATTCACTACTCTACTACTGATGCTTCTTGGGAGCACTTCTGAAATAAATGATTTGCACTCAAATACTTGTCTCAGTGTCTGCTTTTAGGGGAATCAAACCTAAGACAAGTACTCTTACAGTCAAGTACATGTGAATAGTAACTGAAAAAGTGCTCTTTTTCTAAGTAATGCATATTTATGCCATACAGTGTTTCAAATAACTACAGTATACAGATTGTTAAAATACCTATGAGCATCCAAAACTGTTCTTTTGTTTACCACTATAAGAAGTACTTCAAAATTTGATTAAAAAAATCCATTTCTGAATGTTAGCTATTTATCTAGCATATGTGAATTGCACCATTTTAGCATTTTGTATAGATGTTTAATGGAACTGCCTTCTTTCATTCTGGCAGTTTTGTGGTCTAGAAGTCCTACATTTCAAATCTCACGTATTATAAAAATGCAATTTAAAGCCTTTGAAAAGGACCCCCATCAATTTCTGTTTATTTCTGGGAAATACCAAATGATAAATTACTTGAGTACAGCTGATGAGATATATGTTTGGGACTAATGACCTGAACTGGCTCAGGATTCATCTGTCATCTGTCACTTCTACTCTGCAAATAAGACAAGATCTGCAAGTGACCCTTGACTAAGAATACTGATTTAATGATGGACCCATATGGAGCATGGTTGTAACCTTTAGTATTGGAAGAGCCATTACACTGAGTGCTTAATTCTACAGCAGTGTTTCTGAAATTATCGGTGGTAAAAAAAAACTTATTAATTTTCTCTTTACCACAGAATGATAGTTTTGTAAAATACTCTGAAAATAAATTGCTAGAAAAATAAAACGAAGAATTAAAATGTACGCAAAGTCCAAGACTCCATCACTTGCAAATCCAAATACACCTGGGGCAATAAGTGTTACTATTTATCCATTAACATGCAAACCACACCAAGCATGAGTTGAAGGAATGGAGTAAGAATTACAGAGGCAAGAATGTGCTGTGAGCCGTGCCAGCTAAGATGAAATTTGGGTAAATCAAATTTTGTGATCCATACTCAGGAAATTCTTTCATGCCCTCAGAAAACATTGTTTCGAATTATCTTTCATTTTTGTTAAAGATTTGATTCAAGAAATGTAATAGCACCCTTTAAAGTCAATACATTGGCCACAAAATAGAACATAGTCCTGGGCTATCCCACTATGTCACTATGGGACATTTAAAAGACTTCAGAACAACAATGACAAAACTACTACTAATAGTATACATTTACATATATTGAGCGCTATCCCACCCCTATCATATGCACTTTCAGGTTCACATGAACTTTGCTATTATATTTGGCTTATTGTTTATTAATGACAACTTTTTAAATTATGTGTTCTTTTAACCCACTGGCTTAGAAAACATAATGTTCATTTTTACTTGTCCATAAAAATCTCTGTATTTTTGAGACTAATGAGATATTTGGATTTGTTCTGAAGAATCATCTTGACTAGGCTTATGTTGACCCAAAGAAAAGAATCAATTGTCAGTTTATGTATGATCTTTCCTTTAGATTTAGAGACGCCTGATGGTTTAACACTTATTTGGAGTCTCTTTAAACCCCCTTAACTAAAGAAATGTATAGCAATACATTTATAGGACATCCAAGTTACTTGAGAATCCAGATGAGGATAGTGTACCAGATCAAGCGCTCATACCTCATTGTCAGTGTTTTGTATTGAGTAATGAGAAATTGCTCATTACTCTGAGGGTGCTGCATGACTAGAAAACTGAAAAGATTTCTCAGACTTGAAGGCTTTCCTGTATTGAAATGGTCCTTGCCCACCATATTCCACTTCTTGTAACCATTTCTGACGTGAGTGTGAAGTCAGTGGGACACTGGAAGCTATGCTTTGAGTCACAGCTCTTGGCTTCGCTGTTGGTGTGCATTCTGTGTTATAACTATCTTTTGTACTTCCTTAAAACTAAGTTAACATGTTGCTGTGTAAAATCTACTGTATTTCACAGTTTGGATTATCAAACCAAACCCAAGACCATGCTTCTGGTGAAGCAGAGTAGGCCCTATATGACTAACAGTGCAAAGGATCATATTTCCAGCATTAACAACCAGTCACCAATGAAATGAATTTTTGCACAAGAATACTCTTCTTACATTCAGCAAGAAAGATAGTTCAGGTTGATGGTGAAAAAGAGAAGCACAGGAGGAGCAAGTCAGGAATCATGCAGAAGAAGGAACTCTCCAGAGGGTGATCTGGGTGGCTGACTCCAAAGGAGACTTCAGACTGCCAGGGGGCAACATGAGGGCCCTGGACTCCTGGGCCCCAGCAGAGAACAACATGGAAGAAATAAGCACTACCTGCATCAAATTGTTGCATATGGTCAAATTCATGTGATCTTGAAAGAAAGAATGTGCGCCTGTGACACTCAGTTTCTTCATTGCTAAATTGATGATTTCAGTTGTGAGGATTTAATATTAAAAAATTTACTGACAGAGTCTTACACATACTACTCACTATTCAGCTCTTAATTTTGCCCTTTCCTTTGAGTCACTAATTCCTGATTCTATTCAATTCCTCCCTTGTTCTAACTCTCAGTCCTACAGCTCACCCGTCTGGGGTTGCAAGGTGTGAAGACAGAACAAAAGCCTCCATTGGTCCTAGTGGACAAGATCTATAGTGCTATATTTGAAAACCTAAGGAATTATTCAAGCACTGAAACCAGGACTTGCTTATGCAATAAGGGTACAGAGTATAGAGGTATAATTTACGCTATGTTAATCTACCCACAAATGCAATTTGGCAGGAAGTAAGTTCGAGAATCTCATAAAAACCTTTTGCCTATAGTTGTATGAATCTTAGTGAATATAGTTTTATAGCAAGAGACTACCGTGTATTAGATGTGGAGACAATAATTTTCACCAGTACTCATTCTTTAATTCTCCCTTTTAGTACTAGAATATTCCTGTAGCTACTCATTCTAGAGACTGTATTTCTCAACTTTTTTTGCAGTTAGATATGACTGTATGACTGAATTCTGCCTAATGAAATCTGAAATGAAAAAGACATATTTCACAGGTCACATCCTTAAAAGGTAACTCCTTGCCTCCAGTACTCCTTTACCTGCTCTTCCTTCTTCAGAGAAATCAGACCCATACATGAAAGCCTAGTACTGAGGAGGAAAGAGATACTCCAGAAGCTTTGACCCTCTCACATCTCAGCAGTTCCATGAGAAAGCAATAAAAAAAAATCTCTCATTTAAGGCACTGTGTTTTTGAATCTTTCATAGCAGCATTGTCTATACTTTAATTAACATATGATTCATATTAATCAACAGAGAAGCAGCGAACAATAATGGAAATGTTACCTTGTATATCTGTAGAAATACATCTGTCCATGCCCGTTTACTCCAGGCTTCAAATTTAGACATTTCTATAACAATAGAACATTTTTTCTTAGGTGTACAGGAACTCACAGGCATCGTATTAGTGGAAGACTTTAAGAAATAAAATAGTACAACATTAATTAAAATTTAAGGCAAATTTAGCATATGAGTTTTTTTTTTCAAAACATGTGGATGCCTTTTCTATACTTTAATCAAGAGCTCTAATTTGCAATGTGCCAATAATAGAAGATATCACCACAGGTAACTTTATGGAGCACACAGTCTCTTATTTAGATCATACATTTATTCATTCAACGCACCTACTAGATCACTCTGCAGAATAAGTGGCCGAACACGATACGAAGTTCTTCTGATTGCTGAGCCAAGAAAGAATCACACCCTTTGGATAAGGCAACAGGACCTCAGCATAGTGCCAAAGAACAGGCAGGCACCTGGTTCTCTACTCATGTCACATGGCAAGCATAGTGAGAGTCCTACAACCATAGTTGCCTCAAAGCCTGCAGACTCCTCAAAGACCACTCCCCTCTCAGTAGGTTACCACAAAGTAAACTATATATTATGACAAAACTATATATTTCTTGCTACATTTCTATTTTCCCCTGAAAACGAAGAAGAAAAGTGGCACATGGTGGTGAAATAAAACCAGTATTTTCTTTGGAAAATATGTATTCTAAAAGTTTAAGAATAAAATTTACATAACCCCACCTTATTCTTCATTTATAAATTCTCCAAAGTAGGAATTATTTATATATTTAAGAAAGCCATGTAATCATTTTTTGCATAGGAACTCCATAGAGATTTTTAGACAAATGTACAAAAACATATGGGTTATCCAAAAATTATGATCCTAATAATATTTTGCATATAAAACTCAACAGTCTGAAGTAGAATATTCTAACATAGGCCAAATACCAGTACATACAATAATAACTGTGTGGTTTGTTCCAAGAAATTATATTTTCTTACCATAATTTCAATCCACCTCTTATAATCTTCTGGTTCAAGCAAAAATTCTGGCAGGACATGTGAAATACATCCTCCTTGAGCACTAAAATTAAAAAAGAAAAACTCAAATTATAATATAATATACATGTTCTATATATGATTTGCATTGACCATCAATTAAATATTTCAAGTCACATTTGTATATATGCTAGATTTTATTTTTCAAATTTAAAAGTTATATAATTAGCCAGAGGTGGCAGTGGCCACTGGGTGAAGCTTCTCTGCCTTTGGAAAGGGGAGGGAAGAGTGAAAAGAAAGTGTCCTATGGTTTGAGTGCCAGCTCAGCCACAGTACAATATAACACCAGGTGGAATTCTAGTTTTTTTTAACTCTAGTCCGTTGCTCTGAACAGCACCTCTGGACCCACCTGGGGTCTGGGGGAACTCTAAGCCTTAAAGGAAAGATATAGGCTTGGCTGGCTTTGCCACCAGCTAATTGTAACTCTTCAATGCCCAAATACAGATACATATTTCCAAGAATCAAGATGATACAGGAAAACATGAGCTCACCAAATAAATAAGGCACCAAGGACCATTCCTGGAAAAATAGAGATACATGACCTTTCAGAGAGAGAATTCAAAATAGGTATGTTGAGGAAACTCAAAGAAATTCAACATAACGTGGAGAAGGAATTCAGAATTCTATCAGATAAGTTTAACAAACAGATTAAAATAATTTAAAAAAATCAAGTAGGAATTCTGGAGTTGAAAAATGTAATTGGCATACTAAAGAATGCATCAGTCTTTTAATAGCAGAATTGATTAAGCAGAAGAAAAAGTGAGCTTGAAGACAGGCTATTTAAAAATAGATAGAGGACACAAAAAAAGAAAGAATAAAAACAATGAGGCACACCTACATGATCTAGAGGATGGCCCCAAAAGGGCAAACCTAAGAGTTACTGGCCTTACAGAGGAGGTAGAGAAAGAGCCGGGGAAAAGAGTTTATTCAAAAGATAATAGCAGAGAACTTCCCAAACCTAGAGAAATATATCAATATCCCAAATCAATATCCAAATATCCAATATCCGAATGAATGTTAGAACACCAAGCAGAGTTAACCCACAGAAGACTACCTCAAGCCATTTAATAATAAAACTCCCAAAGCAGGCTACCTCAACACATTAAATAACCAGTCTCCCAAATATCAAAAATTTTAAGAAATGATCCTAAAGGCAGCAAGAGAAAAGAAATAAATAACATATAATGAACCTCTGATATGTCTGACAGTAGACTTTTTAGTGGAAACATTACAGGCCAGGAGAGAGTGGTATGACATATTTAAAGTGCTGAAGAAAAAAAACAAAACAAAAAACACTTTTACACTAAAATAGAATATCTAGTAAAATTATCCTTCAAATATGAAAAAGTAACAAAGACTTTACTAGACCCCTAACAGTAGTTGAGAGATTTCATCAACACAAGACATGCCAACAGGAATACTTCAAACAGAAGGAAAAGGACAATAATAAACCATAAGTAATTATCTGAAGGTACAAAACTCAAAGGCAATAGTAAGTACACAAAAAAACCCACAGATTATTACAACACTGTAACTGTGGTGTGTAAACTACTCTTATCTTAAATAGAAAGACTAAGTAATCAATCAATCAAAAATAATAACTACAAAGCCATAGAGTACAATATGATATAAATAGAAACAACAAAAGTTAAAAAGCGAGGGGCTGAAGTTAAGGTGTAGAGTCTTTATTAGTTTTCTTTTCGCTTGTTTCTTTTTTGTTTGCTTGTTTATGCAAACTGTGTTAAGTTGTTATCAGCTTAAAATAATGGGTTATAAGATACTATTTGCAAGCCTCATGGTAACCACAAACCACAAAACATATGACAGATACACAAAAAATAAAAAGCAAGAAGCAAAATCACATTACCAGAGAAAATCATCTCATTAAACAGGAAGAAAAGAAAGAAGAAAGAGGAGACAATGAGAAAAGAAATTTTAAAAAGGCAGAAGTAAATCCTTACTTATCAATAATAGCATTGAATGTAAATGGACTAAAGTATTAAATCAAAATATATAGAGTGGTTGAATGGATGAACAAAGATCCCATGATCTGTTGCCGCAAGAAACACACTTCACCTATAAAGATGCACATAGACTGAACATACACGGATGGAAAAAGATACCCCATGCTAATGGAAATAAAAAAAAAGCAGGAGTAGCTATACTTGTATCAAAAAAAAGTAGATTTCAATACAAAAACTATAAGAAGAAACAAAGAAGGTCATTATATAATGATAAAAGGGTCAATTAAGCAAGAGGATATAACAATTGTAAATATATTTGCACTAAACACTGTAACACCCAGATATATAAAGCAAATATTAGAAATAAAGAGCAAGATAGGCCAATAGATAATAATAGCTGGAGAGTTCAACCCCACTTTCAGCATTTGACAGATATTCCAGACAGAAAATGAAAAAAACATCAGACTTCATCTGCACTATAGACCTAATGGATCTAATAGATATTTCCAAAAGTTTTCATCTAATGGCTATGGAATACCTACTGTTTTCCTCAGCACATGGATCATTCTGAAGGACAGACCACATGTTAGGTCACAAAACAAGTCTTAAAACATTCAATTATATATAAACATTCAATTATATCAAGCATCTTCTGACTACAATGGAATAAAACAAGAATAACAAGAGGTATTTGGAAACTATACAAATATGTGAAAACTTAAAAATGTGCTCCTGAGTGACCAGTGGTTCAATGAATAAATTAAGGAAATTGAAAAAATTCTTGAGATAAATGATATTGGAAACACAACTTATCAAAACCTATCAAATATACCAAAAGCAGTACTAAGAGGGAAGTTTATAGCTGTAAGTACATACTTCAAAAAGAAGAAAATCTTCACACCAACAACCTTACATTCCATCTTAAGGAAAGAGAAAAGCAAGAGCAAGCGAAATCCCAAAGTAATAGAAGAAAAGAAATTATCAACATCAGAGCAGAAATACATGAAACTGAAATAAATAAATCAATAAAACAAAGGTTGCTTTTTTGACAAGATAAACAAAGTTGACAAACCTTTAGCCAGACTAAGATAAAAAGAAAGAAGATACAATAAATAAAATCAGAGGTGATAAAGAAGGCATTACAACTGATACTGCAGAAATTCAAATGATCACAAGTAGCTACGATGACCTATAAATTGGAAAATCTAGAAGAAATGGACAAAGTCCTAGACACATACAGCTGACCAAGACTGTAACAGGAAGAAACCCAAAACCTGAACAGACCAATAACAAATAACAAGACCACAACCATAAGAAAGAGTCACCCAATAAAGAAAAGCCCAGGACCAAATGGCGTTACTGCTGAATATTTAAATATTTAAAGAAGAACTAATACCAACCCTACTCAAACTATTTTATAAAATAGAGGAGGAGGGAATTCTTCCAAAATCATTATATGAGGACACTATTACCCTAATGCTGAAAGCAAAGAAATATAAAAAAGGAATGCTACAGTCCAATATCCCTGATGAATATTGATGCAGAAATCCTTAACAAAATATTAGCAAACCAAATTCAGCAATACAGTAAAAAGATCATTAATCATGACCAGGTGAGATTTATCCCTGTTGAGTCAAGAATGGTTTAATGTATGCAATGTATGTCATACAATCAATCAAGTAGAACACATCATCAACAGAATAAAGGACAAAAATCATATGATAATTTCAACCAATAGTGAAAAAGTATTTGATAAAATTTAACATCACTTTAAGATAAAATACTCTCAAAAAACTGGATATGGAAGGAATATACCTCAAAAGAATAAAATCCATATATGACAGACCCACAGCTAGTATCATACTGAATGGGGAAAAACTAAAAGCCTTTCCTGTAAAATCTGCAACACAACAAGGATGCCCACTTTCATCACTGTCATTGAACACAGTACAGGAAGTCCCAGCTAGAGCAATCACACAAGATAAAAAATAAGGAGCATACAAATTAGAATAAAAAAGTCAAATTATCCTTGTTTGCAAATGATATGATCTCATATTTAGAAAAACCTAAAGACTCCACAAAAAAACCTATTAGAAATAATAAACAAATTCAGTAAAGTTGCAGAGTACAAAATCAACATACAAAATTCAATAGCATTTCTATATGCCAACAGTGAAAAAACTGAAACAAGACATTTTAAAACAGGAGTCCCATTTACAATAGCCACAAATAAAATTAAGTACCAAGGAATTAACTTAACCAAAGAAGTAAAATATCTCTATAAAGAAAACCATAAATCACTGATGAAATATGTTGAAGAGGACACCAAAAAATGGAGAGCTATTCCATGTTCATGAATTGGAATTATCATTATTATTAAGATGTCTATGCTACCCAAAGCAATTTATAGATTCAATGCAATTTCTGTCAAAATACAAATAATATTCCATACAGAAAGAGAAACAAAATCCTTACATTTATATGGAACCACAAAAGACCCAGAATAGCCAAAGCTATCTTAAGCAAAAAGAACAAAACTGGAGGAATCACTTTACCTGATTTCAAATTATACTACAGAGCCATAGTAACCAAAACAGTGTGTTACTGGTCTAAAAACATACACATCGACCAATGGAACAGAATACAGAAACCAAAATCAAATGTACAGGCCTACAATGAACTCATTTTCAACAAAGGTGCCAGGAACACACACTGGGGAAAAGACAGTATTGTCAACAAATGGTACTGGGAAAACTGCATATCCATATGCAGAAGAATGAAACTAGACATCTGTCTCCCACCATATACAAAAATAAAATCAAAATATAATAAAGGCTTAAAGCTATATCCTCAAACTATGAAACTACTACAAGAAAACTTCAAAGAAACTCTGAACGATACAGGTCTGGGCAAAGATTTCTTGAGTAATATCCCACAAGAACAGGCAATTAAAGCATAAATGAATACATGGCTTCTGCACAGCAAAGGAAACAATCAACAAAGAAAATAGACAAATCCTATAATAGGACAAAATATTTGCATACTACCCATCTGTCAAGGGTTGATAACCAGAATATATAAGGCGCTCAAACAACTCTGTAGAAAAATATCTAAAAATCCAATTTTAAAATGGGCATAATATTTGTTTCTTTTTAAAATTTTTATATTTATTTTGTTTCTTTTTTTACCTTCAATCAACTCACACCATTTTTTGTTTTGTTTTTTCATTTTTGTAGTTTTCTATTTCTCATTTCATTTTTTAAATGGGCAAAATATTTGAAAAGGCATTTATCAAAAGAAAACATACAAATGGCAAATGGCCACATGAAAATGTACTTAACATCATTGATCAACAGATAAATGCAAATCAAAAGTATAAAGAGATATCATCTCATCCCAGTTAAAATGACATTTATCCAAAAGACAGGCAGTAACAAATGCTGCTGAGAATATAGAGAAAAGGGAGCCTTTGTACACTGTGGTGGTAATGTAAATTAGTACAACCATTCCAGAGAAAAGTTTGGAGTTTCTTCAGAAAACTAAACACAGAGCTACCTCAAAATCCAGCAATCCCCTTGCTGGGTATATAGCCAAAAGAAACGAAATCAATATTTTGAAGAGATAATCTTCATTCCCACATTTGTGCAGGTTTGTTCACAATAGCCAAGATTTGGAAGCCACCGTAGGTCCATCAACAGATGAATAGATAAAGACAATGTCATACAACTACACAATGGAGTACTATTCAGCCATCAAAAAGAAAAAGATTCAGTCATTTGCAAGAACATGTATTAACCTGGAGGTAATTATATTAAGTGAAATAAGCCAAGCACAGAAAGACCAAAGTCAGATGTTCTCAATTATTTGTGGGATCTAAAAATCAAAACAATTGAAGACATGGAGATAGAGAAGAGAAGGATAGTTACCAGAGTCTGGGAAGGGTAGTCAGGCAGTGAGGGGGAAGTGGGGATAATTAATGGATATGAAAAATTATTATAATTAATGAATAAAGTGTAGTATTGGATAACACAACAGAGTGACTCTAGTCAATAATAATTTAATTTTTCATTTTAAAATAATGATAGTATACATAGATTATTTGTAACACAAAGGATAAAGGGATTAATACCCTATCTTCCATGATGAGATTATTATGCATTGCATGCCTGTATCAAAATATCTCATGCACATACTATGTACCCCCAAAATTTAAAATAAAAAGTAAAAAAAAAAAATAAAAGTTATATAGTTAACTTTTAAAACCTCCCTTAATTCTAAAATGTGCCTACGATGTTTTCTTTAGAGAACTTGATAAATGAGAAAGAACTTACTTAGACCTATAATCAGCTACATCAATCCCTACATGGTAACAAAACACAAAGAGTTTTATGAATTGGATTTGTAGTCAATGCAGTAATCATTTTATTCCTGTTATAATATTATAAAATTGAATAAAACATCTGGAAATGTTTGAATACAATAAAACATCTAACAGAGAGATCACTAGTCATCCAATGTTTATTGAGTACCTATAACCACAAATACCTAAATATAGAAAGCTTGTGTAAGGTAATTCATTATCTATTTATTCTAAAGAGAATATCCAAAAATTGCAGACTCTGATTATATATTCTTGTGGTAGCATATTTGAAGCAGTAAATATTTATTTATATCATTTAATACATTTTAAAGCCTATGTATGTACATATTTATATGCATATAATTTACCACATTTATGTTTTTATATATACTTTTTTCATTGTCAAATTCATTGAAATAATTTTAGCCAAACTCTTAATATGAATATCCATCACCATCAGAGCCACTGTGTAGAAATCTAGTATTTTGTGGCAAATATTTCCTAACGGAGATTCAGATATTCAGGTCTAACTCAGTTAGTGAACCTAGAACACCACTCACCAATAAACATTTAATAGGAAAGAATCCTACATCTAGTTCTCAATTCTGGAAATACCCTCAGAATTTGCAGTCTTGTGATTACAGAGAAGTTGGAAAAAGAAAAAGGAAAATGGAGGCTTAAGATGATTCTGAAAACTCAAACCTTGAAGATGGTGCAGATGACTGAGAAAATAGAAGTGAGGAAGGAAACTCTTCTTGGGTGGAGGCAGTGTCCCCTGTTCTAGAGTTAAGTTTGACATGGCCCTGGGTCAGTCTAAGCTAGTAGAAGAAATCATACTGCCTACATAAAGTTCCTTTGTTGGGAAATGAAACATAAAACTGTCTTTTTGATTTTCACACAATTCCTGTCCTCATGCACATTACTTCTGTGAATCTTCATTACAGTCAAATTGGTATAGATTTAAATAAGATCTAATTTTACGTAACACCACTCCTCAGCAAGATTAGCCAACCGACAGCCTATGTAGAAATGCAATGAGATGATGTCTCCATTAAGTTGAAATCCTCTAGAGTAAAACAAAACATACAACTCAGAGGCATATGAAGAAACTGGAATATTTTCTTGTGCCCAAAGCCAAGACAGAATTTCAGTGTGTAAGTGGTCACTTATATCAAACGTTACTGAGAACTGGAGGAAAATATCAGGGAACCATTAAAATGGGAGCTTCTTGAGGAGGGAGCCTACATGTTATTTATTTGAGTATTCCAAAGTGTCCACCAGAGAGTAAACCCTAGGTAAAATTGAGGACAAGAAAAATGCATTTTTTTCATTTTAAAGGCTGAGACTGTTATGAAGACTTGTTTTATGCTTTTCATTTTGAATCTACCTCAAGGCCTAACTTCATCAGTGCACAAGACAATATTTACCTTTATGTCTTATCAGTAGATTTTACGTCTTGTCAGTAGTTTTATAAAGAGTTGACTTTCCTAATTGATTTCATTAAACTTTTACATAGTAGTTTTTTTATTTGAATATTTTTTCCAAGTTCGCATTGGGTGGATCAAAACATAATTAGGTGCAATTAGTTATTAAATGCTAAACTTAATCTTCAAAAAATTTGTTTCTTAAAAAATCCTAGCTTAATCCCTAAACATAAGTTGCTCATTTATGCAGAGTAGATATTTCACGTGTATAAAAGTTCTTACCTATTGTATTATCAAATTTAAATGGGGAAGCTGATAACATTTATGATTATTTTGTATTTGAATACATATATTTCCATGATGAAACATATGCACATATCTTGAATTAATGACCCAATTTTATTAACCATACTGTCACTTTCTAAATGTTAAGTCATTTTATCACAGTCAACATATCCTGATAGGCATGTATTTGCAGATAAAGAGCAAATAAATCTGAATGGCGTGGCTTTAATGTCAAAATTATTCTTCCATACCTGCATCCTCACATCATAAAATGTCATAACACAAATGACCCATGTTAATGTCAACACTACTGGGAGCTGTGCCAAAAAGAATTCTACAAGAATAACACAACGATTGCAAGTTCCATAGGTTTAATGATGCTGTCACAAAGTTGTTTGATTTCCATTATATGCATACAATCAGGATTGACTTAAGTATGTAAGCCTCCTTCTTTTGCTCACAGTTAATATTTATTATATTTTCAGAGTAAAACTAACTTTCTGAAAAAAATGCATTCAGGTTTTGGACTTATTGAATTAGAGCACTTACCTTATTGAATCAATTATTGAGGACCAAAAGTAGGAAGTGGTAAAATTAAAAGCTATGTGCTTTCTGTTATAAACTTATTAAAATTTAAATAAAGTTTCCATTCAGTCTAATAAATGTGAGGCTATAATTGATAAATACTGGCTTTCTGACATTTTTATGTCAACAAGACATTTATTACTCATACAATGGATTTTTAAAATAAATATTCCATTTCAGTGATAGTGATATCACAAGAATCAGTTTCAGTATGTCACTAGTGGTTACTATATTGGAATAGTTTCAGGAAATATCTAAGCAGGTGAAAGCCTTAGGCCATAATTCATTTCATTTAACAACAATAACAATAACAATCTACTATATGTCACGTGATTCACGTTATATTATTTCTAATTCTTTTTTTATTTAAATTTTAAGTTCAATAGTACATATGCAGGTTTGTTATATAGGCAAACTTGTATCACGGGGGTTTGTTGTAGAGATTATTCTGCCACTCCAATATTAAGCCTAGCATCCGTTAGTTATTTCCCTGATGTAATTCTTCTAACAACCAAGTTAGTTATGGAATTATCACCCTTAATTTTACATATTGAACTTAGAGCTAAAACGGGTGAAGTAACTTGTGCAAGGAAGGTCACAGGAGTACAGAAGAGTTGGAATATAAGCCTATATCTGCATGATTCAAAAGCCATGTTCCTTCAACCCAGTTCAGTGCACCCTTCCAGGATTACTTCTTGGATTGTTTCTTTGAAATATTTTCATTCTTAGATGCAATTCCATTAAATAAGATACTATAATGGTCATGCATAAGTGAGAAGGATATAACACTTTAATTTTTTATTTTCTTTTTTTCCTTTTTTTTATTTTTTGAGATGGAGTTTCGCTCTTGTTGCCCAGGCTGGAGTACAGTGGTGCGATCTTGGCTCACTGCAACCTTCGCCTCCCGGGTTCAAGTGATTCTCCTGCCTCAGCCTCCCGAGTAGTTGGGATTACTGGCGCCCACCACAGCGCTCAGCTAATTTTTTGTGTTTTTAGTAGAGACAGGGCTTCTCCATGTTGGCCAGGCTGGTCTCAAACTCCTGACCTTGTGTGATCCACTCACCTCGGCCTCCCAAAGTGCTGGGATTATACGCGTGAGCCACCGCACCCAGCCCAGGATATAAAATTTTTAAGGATAAAAGTGAAAATCACAAGTGGAACTAAATTTACATATAAGGGGATGTGAGTTGCTTTTTCTAAGTGTATTTATTTTGGTGAATTAACTATTTATTTAAAAACTTAGTGGAATTTAAAAATAAGAGTTACAATAGCTTTATATTCTTCTGATGGTCTACTTTTTAGTTACAATGTACGGCAGAAGATGTTGATATTCTGTGTCGGTTTTAGTTTTATACTACACAAATTATAAATTTTTAAAAATTTTATTATTTTCAATGAAAATTAATTAATCATAAAATGATAATAACTATAAACAAGTGAAATTGTATCAAAGGATGTTAGATATGATATTGGTAAGCTCAAGCTGCCATAAGAAAATACCACAGGATAAGTGGCTCAAACAAGACATTTATTCTTTCACCATTCTGGATGCTGTAAGTTCAAGATCAAGGTGTCAAAAATTTGGTTCTAGGTGAGGCCTCTTTTCCTGGCTTGTAGATGGCCATCTGCCCACTGTGTACTCACATAGCATTCTCTCTATAATGAGAAAGAGAGAGAGAGAGAGAGAAGAGAAGAGAGAGAGATCTGGCATCTCTTCCTCTTCTTTAAAGGACATCCATCCTATTGGATTAGGGCCCTACATTTAACCTTAATAACATCCTTTAAGGCCTTATCTCCAAATAAAATCACATTGGGGGTTAGGGTTTCAACATATGAATTTGGGATGGGGCACAATTCAGTCCATACCAGACACAAATGACAAGAAATATATTACTGCAAATATATCCATACAAAATTTATTATAAAATATAACATTCAGTTACAGAATATTGTTTCATAATATAACACATATGGTATTGCTATGGTCTACATTACACCCCTCCACAAAGTTCATATGTTGAAACCATAAATTTCAGGACTTCAGAATGTGACTGTATTTGGAGTTAGGGTCTTTAAAAAGATAACTAATGTAAAATGATGTAATTAGAGTGGTACCAAATCCAGTTTGGCTTGTGTCTTTATAAGAAGATGAAATTTGAATACACAGAAAGACATCAGGGAAATGGGTACACAGAGGAAAAACCACATGAGGACACAGCAAGAAGAGTTTATCTGCCAGCAGAGAAACCTCGGAAGAAACCAACCTTGACAATACCTTGATCTTGGACTTCTAGCATCCAGAACTCTGAGAAAAAAAATTTACGTTGTTTGCTCCAACTTGACCCTCTCATTTGTTACATTCTCCTTCCTGAAATGCAAATTTTTCACCCTTTCTTTTACCACTTTTTATATTTCACAGCATTTTCTTCATTCTTATATAAATGTCCTGCGATGCAATTTCCATGTTTCATTCCTTATACCACACAAATTCAAAAGGTAAATCTCTGTGAAAGAAAATGTTAAAAAATAAATATGTAATGAACATTGGCCCCATTCCATGCTCCCAGTGATCCTGGGTGTTAGAAATTCCAGATGAATGAGATGTGGTTTCTGCCCTTAAGATGCTCACAGATTTGTGGGATTCACTGACTCAGGGATAAGCCAGCGGAGTTGAAAGTGATTTACAAAATTCCACATAGCTGTGTTATTTCCTTAACTGATATAACCATTCTCATTCTCCCATTTAGATTGAGTGCAGAAGGATACAGAGAAAATGCAAAATTGCATCTCCATGTATCTTTAGGTCTTCTACCCAAAGAATCTCTTTACAGAAATTCTGTTATTTGTGATTAACAGGCAAAATTTCACCCCCACCTATCCATGCCAGATGGCACCTGAGAAAAGGTAGACTCATTGTCAAATAAATACCGTTTTAACTTCAGGTTTTTTTACTTTCATGATTACCTTCTAAAGCCATGTATCTAATATTTATATTTTTCATTTGCTATTTTATATAGAAGGGTTCCTCAAATTGTATTAAGAACTCTCAGAATTAGGATCATCCATGCTGGATTTGGGCTTACACGAGACAGGGAGAGGGATTCCTATATTTGTACATGAAGGTCGGTGACTGCATTTCTGGATACTTGTTCTTTTTTTGCTGTGCCTCTTCTCTGCCTGAAATGTCTGTGTCATGTGGGCATATGCTGCTGATGTCTGAGATGGGGATCTTCTGTCTCTGCCCTTAGGCCCGTCAAGGACCAAGAGGTCTCCTATAACTGACTCAGCCACTCCCTAGTCCTCATATATTTGTCATTCCTATTGTGGCATCAGGGCCAGACAACTGCCACTCTTCTGCCTCTCCAGTGGCGTCCCTCTAACATCCCAACACAGAAGCCGCCATGACAAGCTGCCTGGATCTTGATTCAGTCACCTTAAGTGATTTAGAAACTTCTAGCTACCTTGCAATCCACAAGGAACCAAGCCAGTCTTGCCTTATTACCATGATATTGAGAGCCTAAGAAATGAAAGAAAATATTTTAAGTAACATGTCAAAGTTTTAATACACAGTATCACTAGGGACTCAAAAATCCTGATTTGGAAATAAAAAATTGAATGTCAAATCTTTAATTTGTATTCCTGCTATAAGAGTATTCTTCTTGCCCTCCATCTCTATTCCTGCTAGGATAGATGAACATCTCTGAACAACTATGGAGCAGATTCCATAAACAAAGAAGCAAAAGAGAAAATCACAATAATACATCTAAAAATATATTAACCATATTACATAAACAATTATAAGTGATAAATGCCATTTTAATTGTATAGGAGCATGGAAGAGGGAGTAATAACATGTTCAACTCGATGCTAAATAAATTACTGCCTATGGATGTGGGATGTTTCAGTGTACATGGATGTTGCAAGCGCAGGCTAAAGAAGCAATGTAAATTCACCAGTACTCTTCTCAGAATGTAAATGTACATTGTTTTTCCATTTCTTGGCGACTTGCCATTTAATCTTTGCAGAGGAACACAGATATTACGACAATTATTTTTCCTATCTTTTGCATCAACCATTTAAAATTCCTTTCGCCTTCCTACTATTTTAATTTATCTATGCAGACTAAAAGTCCACAGTACCCATAAATTGAGATGATACTAATAATAGTCTGAGAAATAAAGCTTGTTGGTTTCATCCCTTTTTAGCTAAATGGATTTATGTATTTGCTGTAGACCAGGATTTTCAAAATGAAGGTAATGGATCAGAAATATCAGCATCACCTTGAAACTTGTTATAAATGAAAATTAACTTTGAAAAACTCAATGGGTAAGGGTCAGTAAACTGTTGTTTTAACAGACCCTCTCAGTGATTTTGATGCATGATAAAGTATAAGAATGATTGCCTTAAAAATCCAATACATCATAAAATGCTTATTGGCTATTAAGCATTATATATTTTTCAAAATGTGTGAGATATATATACTTTACCATACATATATATATATAATATATATATACGTGTGTGTATATTTATGTGTGTGTGTGTGTGTGTGTGTGTGTTTGGTTAGAAAGGAAAATAATATCAAAGTCTATCTATCTGTTCATTTATCTAACTATCCAAGCCAGAGTTATATGCTTATATGAGCACATCCAGGCACTTACTTGAGAAAGTCCAGAAGTGAGGAATGTTGCAAATGGAGTTGAATTACCCTTTTTTCATGGTTATCTACAGGTAAAGATTGACTTGAATTAATTCCAGGTGGCATTTTTCCACTCAAATGGAGCAGCACATCATAAATGGTCTTATTATATTTGGAAAAGTCATTCTGTCTGGAAAACTTTTGGGGTGGCGAGGTTGATGAGTAGAATTGCATTTTATATACATCCCTATGAGAAAAAGACTTAAAATTAAAAACAGTCTCAAAATGTTATAGTATGGGGGAAAAAAAAACATGTTCAATTCAATGACTAAATGAAACTCTATTAAAATCAACTAAGTAAGAAACTCCATAATACACTTCACTAGGCTACCATTTGTTGGTCAAAAAAGATTTGTTAAATATTATCATAGATTTCCAGTATCTCATTTAAACACACATAATTATCTAATGTTGCAACTGTCAAATCTGAAGTATTAGATTATGAATAGATTGGATCTTGAGAAACAGAATAGAGATTGAATTTAAACCCATCACCTACTAGCTGAGTGAGTATGGCAAGCTATCTAAACTCACTGAGCTCAATTTTGCATGATATAAATTGGAGATAATGAGGTCTGTAATAGTTTCCAAGATAGATTTCAAATGTTTATCACACATGTATATACAAAAATAATGTACACACATTTTCTCACTATTTGTATTTTAATGCTTAGAAGGGCAAATCCTGCACATTGGCTTAATAAGCAGGGATTTTCATTTTAAAGATAAAGCCCACAGATAACATATATTCCTCTGTTCTTTAAATCAGATACTGCAATCTCTAATTCCTAGTAATATTGCACAAGGTTGTGATGCATACTGACTTTAAATGAAGTTAAAAATTACCACTATTCTTGCTGTCTATAATTTATTAAATATCTCACACCACATTGTCTAACTGTTAGCAATGAGAGTCACAGATGTATCACTTGCTTAGATTGACAAATAAGTACCCGAGGCCATTTTGAATGGCAGTTACCCACTTTGGTAGATAGGAAGTTCACACAGAAGAAAATACGTTCCACTGGGCAAGAAATAGACTACCACTGCTCAAAATATGGCTCTTCCACTTATTGCATGACATTATAAAAGTTACTTGACTTTTCTGTTCCTTAGTTTCTTCATAAGTAATGGGTATGATAGAGCTAGTGTATCCTGAAGTTACCAGCAAAGAAACAAATATTTTATGGAGAAAATTAATACCACTATTGGTCAAGATTAATGCAAACTAAAATGAACAATAAGCAATAAAAACAGACATTCAGGGATCCCAGGTATTATAGTTGTAAGACACAGGTTTTAAACTAACCATATGTACTATGTTCAAAATTGATAATTTTGCCATGGAACAATAAGGTACATAAAATTTGACTAATGGAGCATTCACAAATAAAAATCTGAATAAATAAAATTAAGAAATCAATGGATGAGTCTAACAGTAGATTAAATCAAATAAAAACAAAATTACTGCAATGAAATATAGGTCATAGAATAGTATTCATACTGCAACATTTGAGAAAATAAAAATCATCCTACCTGCAAGACTAATGATGCAAAAAAAAGAACAATGATGTTGATAAATATATAGGCAAATATGAACTGATTAAAAACCATAATTAAACAAAAATAATAGTATTAAACATTATTAAATCATTATTGTTTAATAACTCCATAGTTGCCTATATATAGTTTAACTATATTCATTTTGCTCTTACATATATATTAATATGTTAAAGGATTTTGTTTATTTTTCAATTATGAGAATCCCCTATTTGGAGATTGAAAATATTCAAAAGTCTCACCCATCACTATCACCAGCAAACATGCAGTAAAATGATTAACAAATAAAACTCTTTTAAACATAAGAATTGTAGAATATCTCATTATTGTTATACTAGTGTGCAAAAGTAAGAATTCAAGGAACACAACTAGAATGAGTTATTATAGTCATTTTCATTTTAATACTTAGCTTGAATCTAAAGTCAAGTTTCTATGACTTTGTTGGACACTGTTTACAGTATGAATGGGCAGGATGCCCAGAAATGGAGGTGACATTTCATTTTAATACTATTAAATTTATCAGTGAGCTTGCCAGCAGCTCAAAGCTGCAAAGAGAAAAGCATGCTATGCTATATATATGTGCATATATATACATACATATATAAGTATATATGTAATATATAAGTACATATACACATATATGTGTATACATACGTACATGTATACATGCATGTATACATGCATATATGTATACTACATCTATATGTATGTATGCACATGTGTGTGTATTTATATAAATAAAAGTCAAATGTTCCTGAATCAAGCTGGGGAAACATCCTGCAAAGAAAGGTGAAATATTATTAATAAAACATAATTTGGAAAAGTGCTCTCTTGAAAATGATGAGTTTTAAACTGACTCTCTACTGCCAAATACAAAAAGAGTTGGTGAATATGATTAATGAAATTAGAAATACATAACTATATTAACATAATCCTAATTAAACTTATTAATAATAGCTAAGATTTACTGAAGACTTACTAGGTCCTAAGGTCTGCTCTGACATGCATTAAATATATTATCTCATAAATGTTACAACAACTGTATTGGTTAGGTATTATCATTATCTCCTTTTTTACAGATGAGAAAATGGAGGCATAGAGGAAATATTTTCCTCATTTCAGATCCTCTTGTTATGAAAGATAAAACATTCTACTGGAAGGATTTGATTTTCTATAAGATTCTATGTATTATACTAAATGAGAGGCTCTGGGATGGAATAGTTAGCTTTGGAACAAGCTTTCCTTAAGCTTCCCCTTAAGCTTCCTGACTGGCATTCTAGGATGTGTTGTTTGTATGTGGCAGCTGCAGGAAGCTTCATGCTAGAGTGGAATCCTGGGACAGCACCTACATGTACTGCAATTACTTCTCTCAGAATAAGTGGGACTTCCAGTACGATTCAAATGACTCTATGATTAGTTGCTTAGAGATCTTCTCAGCGGTGTTTATAGAAAATGTTATTTCTACAATTCACCCAGCTTGAAAAGAATAGACTATAATATTTACTACATTTTCTGTGATTATCTCTGAAACATAAATTGTGTTTTCTTGTCTATTTCCAGGGCTACTTCTATCTTCTGGTGATTAGGGGAAGAGCAAAAAAGAAATAATACCTAAGGGCTTCTAGGAACTGAAAACAGACTGATGCCCAAAGTCATTAATTATAAAGGAAGTACAAATTAAAATCCCAACGAGATATTATCTCAGGCCTGTTATATTGACTTATAAGAAATATGAACAATAACAAGTTTTGGAGAAGATGCGGAGAAAAGGGAACCCTTGCACACTTCTGGTAGGAAGGTAAATTAGTACAGTGATGTAGGAAACATTATGGAGGTTCCTCAAAAAAATAAAAATAAAACTAGGGTTTTCTAAGCATAAAATCATAACATCAGTGAAGACAGAAGTAAGACTTCTTTTATTTGGATGCCTTTTGTTTCTTTCTCTTGTCTGCTTGCTCTGAAAAGGACTTCTCATACTATTTTGAATAGCAGTGGTCAGAGTGGGCATCCATGTTTTGTTCTAGTACTCAAGGGAAATGGTTCCAGCTTATGCCCATTCAGTATGATATTGGCTGTCATAGATGGCTCTTGTTATTTTCAGGTATGTTCCTTTGCTGGTGACTCTGTTGAGATTTTTTATCATGAAGGGATGTTGGATATTATTGAAGGCTTTTATCACATCTATTGAGATGATCACACAGTTTTTGTTTTTAATTCCTTACATGCGGTGAATCATTGACTAATTAGTGTGTGTTGAATCAACCTTGCATCCCAGGAATGAAGCCTACTTGATCATGGTGAATTAGCATTTTGATGTGCTACTGGATTCAGTTTTCTAATATTCTATTAAGGATTTTTACATCTATGTTCATCAGGAATATTGGCCTATAGTTTTCTTTTTTCAATGTGTCTCTGCCAGGTTTTGGTATCACAGTGATGCTGGCTTCCAAGAGTGTGTTAGGGAGGAGTCTTTCCTCCTTGATTTTTTGGAATAGAATCAGTATAATTGTTAACAGCTCTTCTTTGAATATCTGGTAGAATTTGGCTGTGAATTCTTTTGGCCCATGGCTTTTGTTAGTAGGTTTTTTATTACTTATTTAATTTTTGAAATCAATATTGATCTGTTCAGGGATTCAATTTCTTCCTGATTCAATCTTGAGAGGATGTGTGCTTCCAGGAATTTATCCACATTCTCTAAATTTTCTAGTTCTTGTGCACCGAAGTGTTCATAAACATCTCTTAGGATCCTTTGTATTTCTGTGGGATCAGTTGTAATGCCACATTTAGTGATTTTGATTGTGCTTATTTGTATATTCTCTCTTTTTTTCTTTCTTAGTCTAGCTAGTAGTCTATCAATCTTGTTTATCTTTTCAAAAAACCATGTTTTGGTTTTGTTGATTCTTTGCATATATTTTTGAGTTTCAAGTTCATTGAGTTCTGCTCTTATTTTAGTAATTTATTTTCTTCTGCTAGCTTTTGAGTTAGTTTTCCTAGTTTTTCTTTTGTTTTAATTATACTTTTAAGTTCTAGGGTGCATGTGCACAATGTGCAGGTTTGTTACATATGTATACATGCGCTGTGTTGGTTTGTTGCACCCATTAATTCGTCATTTACATTAGATATTTCTCCTAATGCTATCCCTCCCCCATCCCCCAACCCCACAACAGGCCCTGGTGTGTGATGTTCCCCACCCTGTGTCCAAGTGTTCTCATTGTTCAGTTCCCACCTACGAGTGAGAACATGCGGTGTTTGGTTTTCTGTCCTTGTGATAGTTTGCTCAGAATGATGGTTTCCAGCTTCATCCATGTTGCTGCAAAGGACATGAACTCATCCTTTTTTGTGGCTTCATAGTATTCCATGGTGTATATGTGCCACATTTTCTTAATCCAGTCTATCATTGATGGACATTTGGGTTAGTTCCAAGTCTTTGCTATTGTGAATAGTGCTGGAATACACATACATGGGCATGTGTCTTTAGAGTAGCATGATTTATAATCCTTTGGGTATATACCCAGTAATGGGATCACTGGGTCAAATGGTATTTCTAGTTCTAGATCCTTGAGGAATTGCCACACTGTCTTCCACTAATGGTTGAACTAGTTTACAGTCCCACCAACAGTGTAAAAGTGTTCCTATTTCTCCACATCCTCTCCAGTACCTCGTTTCCTGACTTTTTAATGATCGCCATTCTAATGGATGTGAGATGGTATCTCACTGTGGTTTTGATTTGCATTTCTCTGATGACCAGTGATGATGAGCATTTTTTCATGTGTTTGTTGGCTGCATAAATGTCTTCTTTTGAAAATCGTCTCCTCATATCCTTTGCCCACTTTTTGATGGGGTTGTTTGATTTTTTTCTTGTAAATTTGTTTAAGTTCTTTGTAGATTCTGGATATTAGCCCTTTATCAGATGGGTATACTGCAAAAATTTTCTCCCATTCTGTAGGTTGCCTGTACACTCTGATGGTAGTTTCTTTTGCCATGTAGAAGCTCTTTAGTATAATTAGATCCCATTTGTCTATTTTGGCTTTTGTTGCCATTGCTTTTGGTGTTTTAGACATGAAGTCCTTGCCCATGCCTATGTCCTGAATGGTATAGCCTAGGTTTTCTTCTAGGGTTTTTAAGGTTTTAGGTCTAACATTTAAGTCTTTAATCTATCTTGAATTAATTTTTGTATAAGGTGTAAGGAAGGGATCCAGTTTCAGCTTTCTACATATGGCTAGCCAGTTTTCCCAGTACCATTGTTGCTTTGACAATTTGACAGAAGTAGGCTTCAGAAAGTCAGTAATAACAAACTTCTCCGAGCTAAAGGAGGATGTTCGAACCTATCTCAAGGAAGCTAAAAATCTTGAACAAAAGATTAGATGATTGGCTAACTAGAATAAACAGTGTAGAGAAGACCTTAAATAACCAGACGGAGCTGAAAACCATGGCACTAGAACTACGTGATGCATGCACAAGCTTCAGTAGCCAATTTGATCAAGTGGAAGAAAGGGTATCAGTGACTGAAGATCAAATGAATGAAATGAAGCAAGAAAAGAAGTTTAGAGAAAAAAGAATAAAGAGAAACTAACAAAGCCTCCAAGAAATATGGAATTATGTGAAAAGACCAAATCTATGTTTGACTGCTGTACCTGAAAGTGACGGGGAGAATGGAACCAAGTTGGAAAACACTCTGCAGGATATTAACCAGGAGAATGTCCCCAACCTAGCAAGGCAGGCCAACATTCAAATTCAGGAAATACAGAGAACACCACAAAGATATCCTCAAGAAGAGCAACCCCAAGACACATAATTGTCAGATTCACCAAGGTTGAAATGAAGGAAAAAATGCTAAGAGCAGCCAGAGAGAAAGGTCGGGTTACCCACAAAGGGAAGTCCATCAGACTAACAGTGGATCTCTTGGCAGAAACCCTACAAGCCAGAAGAGAGTGGGGGCCAATATTCAATATTCTTAAAGAAAAGAATTTTCAACGCAGAATTTCATATCCAGCCAAACTAAGCTTCATAAGTGAAGGAGAAATAAAATCCTTTATAGACAAGCAAATGCTGAGAGATTTTGTCACCACCAGGCCTGCCCTAAAAGAGCTCCTGAAGGAAGCACTAAACATGGAAAGGAACAACCGGTACCAGCCACTGCAAAAACATGCCAAATTGTAAAGACCATCATTGCAAAATAAGCAGCTAACATCATAATGACAGGATCAAATTCACACATAACAATATTAACCTTAAATGTAAATGGGCTAAATGCCCCATTTAAAAGACACAGACTGGCAGATTGGATAAAGAGTCAAGACCCATCAGTGTGCTGTATTCAGGAGACCCATCTCATGTGCAGAGACCCACATAGGCTCAAAATAAAGTGATGGAGGAAGATTTACCAAGCAAATGGAAAACAAAAAAAAAGTAGGGGTTGCAATCCTAGTCTCCGATAAAACAGACTTTAAACCAACAAAGATCAAACGAGACAAAGAAGGCCATTACATAATGGTAAAGGGATCAATTCAACAAGAAGAGCTAACTATCCTAAATATATATGCACCCAATACAGGAGCACCCAGATTCATAGAGCAAGTCCTTAGAGACCTACAAAGAGACTTAGACTCCCACACAATAATAATGGGAGACTTTAACACCCCACTGTCAATATGAGACAGATCTACGAGACCGAAGATTAACAAGGATATCCAGGACTTGAACTCAGCTCTGCACCAAGCAGACCTAATAGACATCTACAGAACTCTCCACCCCAAATCAACAGAATATACATTCTTCTCAGCACCCCATTGCACTTATTCCAAAATTGACCACATAGTTGGAAGTAAAGCACTCCTCAGTAAATGTAGTTTTTCTACTGCCTCAATGTGTGAAGTTTAATTTGAGATTTTTCTTTTTTTTTTCTTTTTTTTGAGACTGAGTCTTGCTCTGTCATTCAGGCTGGAGTGCAGTGGCACGATCTCAGCTCACTGCAACCTCCGCCTCATGGGTTCAATAAATTCTCCTGCCTCAGCCTCCCTAGTAGCTGAGACTATAGGAGTGTGCCACCATGCTTGACTAATTTTTTGTGTATTTTTGTAGAGATGGGGTTTCACCATGTTGGCCAGGCTTGTCTTGAACTCATGACCTCCAGCAATCCACCCACCTCAGCCTCCCAAAGTGCTGGAATTACAGGTATGAGCCATTGCACCCAGCAATTTGGAATCTTTCTAATTTTTGAGGTAGGTGTTTAGCATTATAAACATTCCTCTTAACAATGTTTTTGCTGCATCCCAGAGATTTGCTGTAACTGACAAATGACTTCAGTAAAGTTTCAAGATACAAAATCAATGTATGAAAATTGGTAGTATTTCTATACACCAATAATGTTCACACTGAGAGCCAAATCAAGAAGGCAGTCCTATTTACAATAGCCACAGAAAAATAAAATACCTAATAATACATCTGACCAAGGGGGTGAAAGATCTATACAAGGAGATCTATAAAACACTGCTGAAAGAAATCATAGATGACACAAACAAATGGAAAAACATTTTATGCTCATTGATTGGAAGAATCAATATAGTTAAAATGGACTTACTGCCCAAAGCAATCTACAGATTCACTGCTATTTCTACCACATTACCAATGCTATTTTTCAAAGAATTATAAAAAAAAACTTTTCTAAAATTCATATGTAACCAAAAATAAGCCCAAATAACCGAATGACTCCTGAGCAAAAAAAAAAAAAAAAAAAAAAAAAAAAAAAAAAAAAAAAGCTGGAGGCGCTGTATTACCTGACTTCAAACTGTACTATAAGGCTACAGGAACCAAAATTGGATGGTACTGGTATAAAAACAGACACAAAGACCAACGGAACAGAATAGAGAATCCAGAAATAAAGCTGTATAGCTACAGCCATCTAATCTTCAACACAGTCAACAAAAATAAGCAATGGAGAAAGGATTCTGTATTCAATAAATGATACTATGATACTTGGCTAGTCATTTGCAGACGATTAAAAGTAGACCCCTAACTTTCACCATATACAAAAATTCACTCAGGATGGATTAAAGATTTAAATATAAAGTCCCAATCTATAAGAATTCTAGAGGAAAACCTAGGAATCACCATTCTGGACATTGGCCTTGGGAAAGAATTTATGTCTAAGTCCTCAAAATCAATTGCAACAAAAAGAAAAAAGTGACAAGTGGGACCAGTTAAACTAAAGGGCTTCTGCACAGCAAAGGAAACTATTAACAGAGTAAACAGACAACCTACAGAATGGGAGCAAATATTTGCAAACTATGCATCTGACAAAGGTCTAATATCCATAACCTAGAAGGAACTGAAACAGTTTAAAAGCAAAAAACAAATAACCCCATTAAAAAGTGGGCAAATAACATAAACAGACACTTTTCAAAAGGAGATATATAACTGGCCAATGAACATATGAAAAAGTGCTCAACATTACTAAACATCAGAGAAATACAAATCAACATCACAGTGAGATACCATCTCACACCAGTCAGAATGGCTATTACTAAACAGGCAAAAAAAAGAGATGTTTGTGAGGCTGCAGAGAAAAGTGAATGTTTATCACACACCGGGGCTTGTTGTGGGGTGGGGGGAGGGGGGAGGGATAGCATTAGGAGATATACCTAATGTTAAATGATGAGTTAATGGGTGCAGCACACCAACATGGCACATGTATACATATGTAACAAACCTGCACGTTATGCACATGTACCCTAAAACTTAAAGTATAATAAAAAAAAAAAAAGAAAAAAAAGAAAAGTGAATGTTTAAATACTATTGGTAGGAATGCAAGTAAGATCAGCTACTGTGGAAAGCAGTTTGGAGATTTCTCAAAGAACTTAAAACAGAAATACCATTCAACCCAGCAATCCCATTGTGGGGTATATATCCAAAAGAAAATAAATCATTCTACCAAAAGCCATATGCACTTGTATATTCATCACAGCAATAGTGATAGCAAAGAGATAGAATCAACCTAGTTCCCCATCAATGGTGGACTGGATAAAGAAAATGTGGTATATATACACAATGGAATACTATGAAACCATAAAAAAGAATGAAATCATGTCATTTGCAGCAACATGGATGCAGCTGGACCATTATCTTAAATGAATAAACACAGGAACAAAAAAACCAAATACCGCATGCTCTCTCTTGTGGGACCTAAATATTGGGTACTCATGAACAAAAAGATGGCCACAAAAGGCACTCAGGACTAACAGAAGGAGACATGAGGGAAGGAAACAAGTGTCGAAAAACTGTTGTGTACTGTGCTCTTTATTTGGGTGACAGGATTATTTGTATTCCACACCTCAGCATCACACAATATATGCATGTATATTGCACATGTACCCCTGAATCTAAAATAAAAGTTGAAATTATTAAAAAATAACAACAGGCTGGGCGCAGTGGCTCATGCCTGTAATCCCAGCACTTTGGGATGCCAAGGCAGGTGGATCACGAGGTCAGGAGTTCTAGACCAGCCTGGCCAACATAGTGAAACCCTGTCTCTATGAAAAATACAAAAATTAGCCAGGCATGGTGGCAAGCACCTGTAGTCTCAGCTACTTGGGAGGCTGAGGCAGAAGAACTGCTTGAGCCCGGGAAGCGGAGGTTGCAGTTAGCCGAGATTGCGCCACTACACCCCAGTCTGGGTGACAGAGAGAGACTCCATCTCTAAATAAATAAATAAATAAATAAATAAATAAATAAATAAATAAAAATAATACATATAAAATTAAAATTAAAACATTAAAATAAAGCTACCACATGATCCACCTATCCCAATACTGGGCATCTATTTAAAGTAAATGAAATCAGTACATTGAAACGATATAATCACTCCCAGGTTTATTACAGCATTATTCACAATAGCCAAGATATGGAATCAACCTAAGTGTCAATCAACAGATGAATGGATAAAGAAAATGTAACACTCCTCAGCCTTAAAAAAGAGTGAAATCCAGTAGTTTTTGACAACATGGATGAACCTGAAGGACATTATGCTAAGTGAAATAAGCCAGGCATAGAAAGATGAATATTACATGATCTCACTCATACATTTTATCTAAAAAAGTTGAATTCATTGAAGCTGAGAGTGAAATGGTGGTCATCAGAGGCTGAAGGTTGAGGGACCCGAGAGATGTTGGTCAAATGATACAAGGTTGCAATTATACAAGAGAAATAAATGATAAATACTTAAGATGATGAATATGTTCATTATCTTGATTTAATTATTCCACACTGTACATATATATACCATATTAACGCTGTGTACCGTATAATTATATATGATTGCAATTTGTTCAAAAATTTGAAAAAACTCCATAAGTCATCTAATTCATTAACTAGATCCCAAAATATGTTTATGAAGAAAAGTTATTGTAAAAGACAAAATATAAGTTAATAAAATTTTCATAGCCTTATGAAAAAGAAAACAGACTAAGAATTATCAATAAATAGGAAATCCCCTCAAATAATTTCTTTGTCTTCTGCTATTCTACTTGTATATATCTCAGCAATCAACAAATGAACCGGGCCTTATCTTCCTTATTGCTGTGAAGTGGTGTTTCTAAAGAGTGAAATTACGCAAGGTACACATCAACAAAGAGCATTTCTGACAATCTCTATCTTCAGGTTCAAGAAAGAAGATGCACAAACATTCCAAAAAATGTTTCAATAACAAATGATTTTATGATGAAAACTATAAATTTTCAGGGTATCAATTGCATTAATTTTCTCACAGCAGGGACAAAGATGAAATATTAGCCAATTCATTCCATGAAGCTAGGTTTGTCCTATTAATTAAAAAACCTGAAAAAGGTAACATATAGGAAAACTGCAGCCTTAGTTTTACCTAGGTCACTCGAATATAGAGCAGAAATTCTATAAATAGCCCATAGTCCACTATAGCTATGAGTACTGTACTCCCTGCCGTGGTTGCAGCAAGTTACCTCATTGCTGAGAAAGCAGGTAGAAAAGCTCTGAGAACATATCACACCAACAACATTATAACCAGTAACAGGCCTAAACTCCTGTTTACATTAACAACAGAAGTAAGTCACTTGATATAATCAAAACAGTTGAACTATTTTAGACATACTGAGTAACAAAACAGCACATGAAAGAAGGGAAGTAAATGCACTGTAAAAGAGGAAATCAAGTCAAAGAAAAGTGAGCCCTCCTTGTTCATTAATACCATTACCTGTCTACCTGGCTATAATCTCGATCTAGGGCTAATATTAAAAGGGCTTTCCTACTCACAGTATAACCTTCCTCATATCACAGATGAGGAAGGTGAGGTTCAGAGATGTTCAGTGCTTGCCTAAAATTATCAGATATTTAAAAGAAATTAAAGATGACATTATACTAAAAAATTTGTGTTTGCATCATTTTACTCTTCTTGCAATAACAACAATAAATTATGAGATGCTTCATAATATATCAGTTTAGAATAAATTACTTCATATTGTATTTCACTTAAAATAATCTCAATCAATAGATTATATTTTATGATGTGATATGAAGCAAAGAATTTAGAGAAACATGGGACTCTCACCTTCTTATAGTCTCTGGAATAGAAAAAGAATGGGGTCCTTCAGGCCAGCCAAAGAGACTGAACCAGGTCTGTGCTGCATTTACAACCTTCTCAAAAAAGTAGTGTGCCTTTGTTCCTTCCTCAAGAGAAAGGAATTGTTCATATTTTTCCTTTTCCAGAGACCCATGATCTTCCTCTGATGTTTCACTTTCATCCAAGTGCAAATTTTCAGGCAGTACTTCCACTCCTAAAATTAAAATTAGTTTGTTAAAAAAGGGCTACTTGACGAGGAGTAAAATATTCTGTCAGTTATTGTCATTTGTATGCAGACTAATAGAACCTATTCTACAAATTATTCTATGCTCTCAAAGAAATTCTGAGTCAATTTACTATATCTTAAAGTAAACAATGAAAATACATTTACTTTTAAGTACCTAAGAGAAACGTTTTAACAATAGCTGGATTTCAATACATAAAAGTTACATTTTCTTCTTGCCATAATGGTATGTGAAAATATTCCCTGAAGTGGAATCTTTCATTTTTTATTACATTAATAAAATGTATTGACAATCTTCAGCATTATGTATTAGAAAAAATTTAATCTCATCTGAAAAAATTATACAAAGACAATATTGGTTTAGATCCCAAATGACTTTCTATCCAAATCAAGTACTTGAATAAAACAAAGCATTTTCAAGTTAAAGTAATTTTCAAGAATATAAAATGATTTCATCTTTTTTTTCCAAAAATATCTGGTTATATAATGGCACAATCACATACTCACTAAAAACCTCATATTATTTAATTTGGTTTGGTCCATTCAATAAAAAGAAAAATGTTCATTATTACCTACATCCAGAGAAATAAATATTTGAACAGTTAATGGTAAATAATAGTATGAAACTCACATATTTATCTGTGCTGACCTCTTTCTAAGACAGGAAACCTTGGCTACAGTTAGTTAGACAACGAAGAGACAAGTCCTTAGTTCTGCAGTTCCCAAACTGTGCACAGAGAGTGCTTGGGATGTCACAGTAAATTTACAGAGGCTCCACAGGTATTAACGTTTTTGTTAAATATTACTGCAACATCTATTAGACAGCACATAAGTACTACTCTTACATTTTTGTCCCAATGCATTTAATAAATGGAACTATGTGCTACATTTTGGCATTCAGAAAAGTAAATACTGAAACAGTAAGAGTGCTGTGAACCAAGAACATTAGAGAATCTCTACTATTGACCCTTGAAGACAACTCTCCAAACAGATGATCCATTTAAAATTAATGACAAATTCCCAATTTTCTTCATGAATTTCTTGTTATTTGTAAAAACCTAACCTTAAATTAAGTGATATTAAGGAGATCATGTCATGGACTAATTTTGGAAAGTACACTATATATTTGCTACATACCAATAAATAAGTTTCCCTTTGCAGGTTCAGCATCATTGAATTTGCTAGTGGTGTATGTCTTTTTAATTGAAGCAGGAGAGGGTGGTTTAGCATCCTGGTAGGGAGGCAAAACACCATCTCTAGTCTTCTTAAGATATTCATCCTTATCTACAAATGACACATTGGATCACAGTAAGCAAAACATGCATTCACGTATTTCTTTATACCATTATTTAACCTGAGTTTATCTATTATCTATTGATGTATATATCTATCTATGTATCCATCTATCTATGACAAAGTAAAAAAAAAGTCTAAACACCCACTGTACATAAAATAAGATGTCAAATAGGAAAAAGATAAAAGTTGATACAATTTTCTAAACTAAATGAATTTTTTTGGTAAGGCAATTGTTATGGTACATCAAAGTTATTAGAGAATGAACAATGTTCAACTTTAGCGTAAAAAAGAATATGAAAATATTTTAAATGTTTCTACATCCAAATAAATGAAATTATTACATACGCTGTTCAAAATAAGATATAGGAAAAGAGTCACCAGAAAAACTAATATCTTCCTAGTTAACTCTCTGTAATAACATCACAGCTTGGTTATGAACTGATACCATTTTTGTACAGATTTCAATCTCGATTTCAGTTACAGTTGCTATATATGTATATTAGGGACTGCCACAGTGTAAATCTGAATCCAACCAAAGGCAGTGCTGGCCAAGAAAAGCCAGTAGGTGTGACCTAAGGCCAAGCCTCAAAATACATATGCAATTTACATATAGTCATAGTCTTGATGCAGGACAGGTGGGCCACAGAGTGGATCTTAGCCTGCAAGGGTTCTTGGCTTTGCCCAGGAAAGAATTCAAGGGCAAGCCAGAGGTAGAAGTAAACGGCTTAATTGAAGAGGCAGTGTTACACCTCCAGCAATATTACAGCTCCATGACTGCCCTTGGAGAGCAGGGCTAGCCCTAGGCAGAGGGTAGCAGCTCAGGGCAGTTTTGCAGTCATATTTATTCCCATTTTTAATTGCATGCAGATTAAGGGGTGGTTTATGCAGAAATTTCTAGGGAAAGGGTAGTAATCCTTGGATCATTGCCATGTAAAGGGGCGGTAACTCCCAAATGTTGCCATGGCAATGGTAAATTGACATGGCACACTGGTAGGCATGTCTGATTGAAAGCTGATTTTGCAGCCAGGTGAGGTGGCTCACGCCTATAATCCCAGCACTTTGGGAGGCCAAGGCGGGCGGATCACCTGAGGTCAGGAGTTCAAGACCAGCCTGGCCAACATGGTGAAACCCCATCTCTAGTAAAAATACAAAAATTAGCCAGGTGTGGTGGCGCGTGCCTATAGTCCCAGCTACTCGGGAGGCTGAGGCATGAGAATCGCTTGAACCCAGGAGGTGGAGGTGAGCTGAGATTGTGCCACTGCATTCCAGCTTGGGAGAGAGATGGAGACCTTGTTTCAAAAAAAAAAAAAAAAAAAGGAAAAGAAAAAGAAAGCTAATTTTGCCCGCACTCTGTTTTAGCTAGTCCTCCATATGGTCCATTGTCCAAGCCTCCAAGCCCCACCCTGGTGTCAAGTCCCAGCTCCTAACTCAGTCTAATTCTGTCAAAAAAGCATAGACTCTGCAGTTAGAAAAATCTGATTTGAAAACTTGGCATGCCTACTTCTACTCACAGTTAAACTGTGAGTGTGTTATACAAATTATTTAAAACATGTATTTATCCATAAAATGAGACCAAAGTTTCTGAGCTCATGAGTTTGTTGTGAAGATTACATTAAAGACAATAACAAATATAAATGAGCTATTATATGCTAAGTTTCTTGCACTCTTTCATAACAGAGTCATTTAGAATTTGCCTGAGACTCTGTAGTCAATAGGTGTGCATTATTTCCAGAATGCTACACCACTATAGACTTCATAGAATTGAGCCTCAGAGAACTCAATGATAAAATTATTTGTGGTAGATGCATTAGGCTAAATGTTTTTAACTTGCCATTAAATGATAAAAAGTTCCCAGTGGAATGCAAAGCCACATCTATACACTTTCAACTAAACTCAATAATTCACTTTTTAAAAGAATTTTGCAGATGAACTATACTAAAATAATCATACTGCTTTACTTTTAGATATACTTGATATATTTTAAGATTTTACCTTTATTGATCATATCATACCCTAGCACACACTACCAAAGTGTGTGGGAGCTGAGGCCTCAAATTTCATTAGAATTCCCTGGGATAAGCTGCTCACCCTCTCTACATATTCAGATTTTTAATTTGTAAAGTGAGATATATAAGGGCATCTAACTCAGAACTTCTGGGAGGACTAATTTAAAGGACAAATATAAGGCACTGAGCAGAGCACCATATACCTGGTAAGCATTAAATATATATTAGAAATTATCACTATATATATTTCTAAAGATGTTTTAGGATATTTAAGAATTATAATTTCTTTCTTTTGAAATATTTCCCCAAATGGATGCATTATTTTCACACATAGACTTTATGCTTAATAATCTAACAACAAGGTTTTATTTATTTATTTATTTTAAAGAGATAACAATATTATTTATTGCCCAGTAATTAATCATTATTTTCTGGAAGTAAATTATAAAGCATATAAAAATGATAAAGCAATCACAACCACAGTGATAATAGCAATAATAATGAAATATTATTCATAACAATAATTTCCATGTATTTGCAGTCTATGGGTCCTCACAAAAGCCCTTTTAAATAGGTAAAACAGATATTATCAGTATTCTATTACTGTTCTGTCATGTACATTTTGCTTAATAAAAGATGGTAAATTTGAAGATTTAAGAATAAAAGATAAAATCATATGGCATAAAAGTGTGGTTAGAACACAAATGAGAATTGCCATCATCTAGTTTGTGTGACTCTTCATAACTATTATGTTGTATAATCTGAAATCCTCCCCCTGGAAGTAGAGTGGAATATAAAAATATTATGTCAATATTCGTCAAAAAAATCTTTTTTCTTTTTTTTTTTTTTTTAATTGAGGAGTCTCGCTCTGTCGCCAGGCTGGAGTGCAGTGGCATGATCTTGGCTCACTGCAACCTCTGCCTCCTCGGTTCAAGTGATTCTCCTGCCTCAGCCTCCCGAGTAGCTCGGATTACAGGCACGTGCCCCCATACCCAGCTAATTTTTGTATTTTTAGTAGAGACGGGGTTTCACCATGTTGGCCAGGATGGTCTCGATCTCTTGACCTTGTGATCTGCCTGCTTCAGCCTCCAAAAGTGCTGGGATTACAGGCGTGAGCCCCTGCGCCCGGCCAAAAAAAAAAAAATCTTTACATTTTGACAATGTGTGTTAAAATTTTGAGATATCTATCTCTCCCTATATATCTCCACTCTGCCAACTGCATTATTCCATAAATTGCTTTAAAATAATTTTTTGGTGTTCAGAATATGCTATTTCACATATAACCCATTCTTTTATGAAAATATATAGCTAAAAGATGCCTTCCTGATGGTTTATGATTCAAGTAATCCATTTTACAATACTGAATAAATACCTTTTATCTGCTAAACACTGTGTGAGGCACTATGGACACAAGGGTGAAAAAGAGAGAGGTGATTCCTACTCTCACAGACTTTATAGATAGCAACATTTAGAAAAAGACATTGATAATAGGCAGGTTAAGTCAAAATGTAGTAAGGGCTATGACAGAAGAATTGCACAGAGCTATGAGGATACACCAGAGAAACACATAATTTTTGCATGCAGAGGCAGGGATCTTCTATAACTGTGTACGGTGTCATGGGTAAAATGCTCCAGTCACAAGAAAGAGTATCAGTAAAGATCAAGATGCTCAAAGAACTTGCAG
Source organism: Homo sapiens (assembly GCF_000001405.40). Lineage (NCBI taxonomy): Eukaryota > Metazoa > Chordata > Mammalia > Primates > Hominidae > Homo > Homo sapiens. The sequence goes on along the minus strand of NC_000023.11, from coordinate 36,068,122 downwards.
AAGATTAATGTGGCTTGAGCATAAAGGGAAAAATGTCCAGAAATGACAACTAAACCACTTGCTAACATGTGTGGTCTTGTAGGCTTCATCCACCTAGCAATGATATTCTATGGAAAGATTTTATACCTGGGAATTAAAGAATGAATTTTCAGTCTGTAAATATCACCGTGGCGGCCAGGCGCGGTGGCTCACGCCTGTAATCCCAGCACTTTGGGAGGCCGAGGTGGGCGGATCACGAGGTCAGGAGATTGAGACCACGGTGAAACCCCGTCTCTACTAAAAATACAAAAAGATTAGCCGGCCATGGTGGCGGGCACCTGTAGTCCCAGCTTCTCGGGAGGCTGAGGCAGGAGAATGGCGTGAACTTGGGAGGCGGAGCTTGCAGTGAGCCAAGATCATGCCACTGCACTCCAGCCTAGGAGACAGAGCGAGACTCCATCTCCAAGAAAAAAAAAAAAAAAAATCACCGTGGCCATTCTCTGAGGGTAGCTATGTGAAAGGGGAGACCATTGTAGGAGGAAGGAGAACAGTTTAGAAACCCCTGCAACAACCCTGGAAAGGTATTATGGCAGCTTGAATGTTTGTAGTGGCAGTGGAGAGGGAGAAAAGTGAATGGATTTGATAAATATTTAGGCAGCAAAAGGGACAGGAATTGGTTGACTGGAAGTGGAGTGTGAGAGAGAAGACATTGCCAATGATGGCACTCAGGTTTCCGGATTTGGCACCTGTATGGACTATAGGTACAAACATAGAGATGGGGTATATAGAGAAAAAAATGTCAGAGAGATGACTTCAGTTTGGGTTATGTTGTTTTGGGGGTGCCTATGGGAATACAAAGAATGGTATCCAGAAGACAGTTGAATTCTGAATTCCTGAATCTCTGAGAGGAAACAAGGCTAGAGGTATAGCCCATGGATTGTAGCTGAAGTCATGGAAGGAAGAAGAGAGGGGTCAGAACTCCTATTGACACAAACAATTTAAAAGTACAGATAGAGGAAGAGGGAGGAATCTATGAAAGATGCTCAGAAGGAACAGTCAGAGAGGTTAAAGGAGACCAAAAGAAGTATGGTATGTGGAAACCCAGAGAAAGTTTGAAGATGGAGAAAGAGAATAGTCAAGTGTTAGCTGTGCTCAGTAGTTTAGTTATGGCAGCATAATGGATAAATTCTTCTTCCTTACCCCTGAATTTTTTTTCCTGTTAAAGGCAGTTGAAGTTTTCTAATTGTTTAATTTCCTCTGCTGCTTTTCTCCTTCTCCCTGGGAAGTTGAGTGATTTATTTTACTGTTAGATTTGGAAAGAATTAATAAGGAATGCATGGCCTGAAGCTACCCTTTTTGCTCTTTGGGAATGAGCCTGCTGGCCACTGGGAAAATACAGTCTCCTTTCTCCTTTCTACTGTCTTCCTAGATGCTCACTCAAAGCAGCTAAGAGGGAGACAGAAATGAAAAGATAAGCAAGGTTACTTGATTGAGAAGGTACCTGGGTAAAGGGATTCAGATAAAGGAATAAGTTAAGGCAAGAGAGAGCCCTGGCTCCCAGCTTTGTGACCAGTAAAAAGAGTCACGATACATGCTTGTGACTTGCTTGTCACAATCCAGTTCCAATCCAAGAGGGTATTTGGAAGTTCAGAGTGGTACTGCTTAATGGCCTCTATTTCTTCTGAATAGTAAGAAAAAAGAGTCATCCCCTGAAATTAAGGTAGAATAAGACTAAATATGTTTCATCAGAGTTGTAAATATTTGAAGAAACAAGTGAAGAATATGAGAAAATTGGTTAAAAACAAACAAAAGACCTCTAATTCAGCACTGAAAATTAAGACCTTGACGATCTACACAGATGGGATTTTTTTTTGTTACCCACTCTCCCTCCTTTCTCTAATGTACTCCCCTGTTTCTTGCCTTTCATATTTCTCCCTGCTCACTAGCTTGTTTAGTATTCTTAGCTTCTCTCACAATTTCCCCTGCAGCAATTCCAGGCTGGTCTAATGACCACACTCTGTCCCACTTTAATTCATCACACATCCCAAGAATTGTTCCCTTTCTAAACACTGATACTCAAAAAATGACAGAAGGTTCCCACTGCTACAGAATAAAGGGCATAGCATTATGGTCCTGTACCTACATTTACTGCCTTACACCTCCTGTCACACCTGCATGTTTCTGCTATATTGTCTTTTGCCCAAATCATTCTATTCAAACTAGATCGTCAACTTTTGGAATTAAGAGACATACAGATTCTACTCTCAATGACAAGCACAGCTTCTATCAGAGGCAGCTGTTTAATAAACAACTGATAATTTTAAATTCACTTTATTTCTAGATGTTGGCCAAGAACCTATACAGTGAGAGTTAGGGATAAATAAGTCATACATAGCTTACCATTCTTTAAAATAATGTTTTGCTTATCCAGATGAATTGCCATATATGGGTAAATAGTAAGAATGCAGTTTTCTGCTGTTGCAGTAACTGGAAGTGAAAACCTGAAAGTGAAAACATTGCATTTCAATACAATAAAAATTTCAGATGCAGTAAATGCCATGCATTTAAGTATCCCAGATGCCCTTAATGATGAAGACATGATTTATTCATTTTTTCTTTCTACTTACTTTGTTTTTTTAACCATCTACTCAATGTTAATGATTTTTAAAATTTTTACTTCTAAAGATTTTAATAGATAGTATAAATTTCACTGTCAAGTGTGCTATAGAACACAGCTTGTAACTGTGCAGGTGCAAAAACACAGATTCAGGAAAGTTTAGAGTTGAAGGTGTCTCATAGTTAATTTACTCCATTCTTCTATGGAGTCCCTGACAAATGGTATGTAGCCTTGGATGATGCTATTAGGGAGACACTACCAGATGACATTCACAACACAGAAACAGCCCATTTTATATCTGGAGAGCTGTAACTTTAGATCTGTCCCAGCCCAACATAGAAGAAAACCTACAATCTGAACCCCATTACAGTTCTTCAAATATTTAAATACAGTCATTATTTTTTCTCTAAGGTTTATGTTCAGATTTCAGAAATTTAGAACATTCAAGGATTCTTTCTACTGCCAGGTCTCCAAATCTCTTATATATCAGTCTCATTTATTTAGATAACCTTTTGTTTTCTGTTTGTCCTTCTTTAAATGTGTCTGAGGACTGAAAGCAATATATACTGCAAAAGTTATTCAACAAGTACAGAGTACTATTACCTTCTATAACCTGCATACTCTATTTTATGAAAGCATTGTGAAATTGTCTTATTATGTTTACCAACCACAAAACACTCTTAAACTATATTTGGGCTGTCTATCTTATATGACAATTCTATTCTTGTGCAACTGATTTTTTAATAGAAGGGCTATATTTTATATCTATATCACCTTAATACTGCCTTATTAATTTCAGATCTGCATTATAGAATACCAAGAAAATATCACTGTTGAATCAGCCATCTATCATCTACTAGTACTTTATGGTCACTAGCTGAGGTAAAATGCCAAAATCCCATGTTTTAATGCAAGTAACTGTAAGTAAATATAGAATAGGATGAAAGTAAAAAAATGTTCATAGCTGAAATATAATGAGTTATCAAGTAAATTAATGGTAAACATATATTACATGCAACTGAATGATTTCCACCTCAGTTCTGCATACAATATTTTCCAGTAAGAAAGGAACTACATTTTTCTCTTTATACATTGATATAAACATTGATATTAACATTTTATGTAAAATACACACACTCAACATCATCTTGGTTAACAAACACTAACCTTATCTTTCTTTGCTATGGATCCTAAGCACATGTATCAGATAGCCTTATTCAGGATTACATTTCATATCTATATGTAATTTTTACCATATGATATCATTCTTAAACTTAAATTTCCTTGATAGCATAAATCAGTACTTCTACAAATTGTGCACTTGTGTTAAACATAGTGATCAATCAAAATTTCATTAGCCAATTATCTATATTTAACCAATAATTTTAGATTAAATAACATAGTTTACATACAGGCACCATCATCACTACCACATAGAATAAGAAATATTACTTTTTGTTTTAACTATGACTACAGAAGGAAAAAAAGACCACTGTAATAAATTCTGTGGATGCTCTGCCCTTATACTCATATCCCCTGTGATGTACCCTGGGGCAGGCCCATAGCCAACACCTGTGGGTATGGAAGTTTCAAATCTCAGCTCCATCACCCCAATCACAACAAAAATTGTGATGTCATTTCAGTTCTGGAGAAACCTACAGGATTAGGTTGCTGTTGAGATTTTGATTTAAATGTCACATTTATTTGGAGTGATCAATTCCCTCTTCTACTTCTCTTACCCCATTACTTGTTTTTTGTGGGGGGAACATTTCCTTAATGCACAGACCCATGCATCATCATCTAAAAGTGAGCTTGTGGACAAAGTTCCCTAAGACAACTACCAAATGAACAAACCAAAAAAACACTATCACTTGAAATATTTCTAAAATGGTAAAGAATTAACGAAAATAATTCTGAAAATAAATTTTATTCCAAGAATGAAGTGGAAATAAGTATAATGTTTATTTGTTTCTCTTACAAACCTAGTTTGCAGAAGATAACATTTGATTTCAGATGTTCCTCATGGTAAAAAATAGCCAAACATATACAAAACTGACTTGACCACATTCTTTTCATAGAGCATATAATATAGAAATTATACAAGTAATATGGCATGGGACTATGGACACTTCACTCATTGATATTACTATTAAAATATATTAAAACAGAAAAAAGGACATACAGTTGGTAGTACCAATAGCCTATATTTTAATAAAAATATTTCTGGAGAAATAGAGCAATTTGTGTTACTTCATCAGGGGACAATGGTAATATTTATGAATTCCCTATGCCAATGCATACAGACACAAATGGTTACTGACAGAGGAATTGCTCTAAAAAATACTCAGTATTACAGTAACAATGAGATGAAAAGGCCCTTTGATGTTATGAGTTTCAATTCCATTATAAGATTTAAATAGCTACCTCAGGCATATGTGATTTAAAATAGTTCTACTGGGTAAAAATCAGAATGAATATTCCTGGCAATAAGAGGGTCAAAGATACGATGTGAATGTTAATGAAAATGTAAATGGGCTTGTACTATTTTTGGCCGTGTTTCCTGTTATAAGTAATACTGTGTTTGGTCATTTGGTTATGGTGGTGTCCACCGGATGTCTTCATTTCTTTTTACAGCAGCATTAGACATGTAATTTACATACCATAAAATTCATCTTTTAAAGATGTACAATTCAGTGTTTTTTTAAAATATAATCACAGAGTTGGGCAACCATCACCATTATCTAACTTTAGAAAATTTTCATTGTCCTTAAATGAAACTCTCTACCGCTTAACAGTCACTCTCTATTTGCAACTCCACCCCACCCCCAGCCCCTGAAAACAACTAATCTGTCTACGGATTTTCCTATGCTGGAAATTTCTCTTTTGGAAATTAATAAGTATTCTGTGGATGAAATGTGGAGACCATGTGTACATCCTTTTCCTCACCAGTCTTTCATATTTTGATATTGAATGGTATGATGACCACATACAATTCATTAAATAAGGTGTGAAAAGTCTCACAATTCATCTCTCTGGTCATTAGCTAGTGAATAATTAATACTCTAATCACACATCACTAATTCTTTCCACATCATTAGTGAGGCTGAGAGATTTTATGGTTGTCTGAGCAATTTTTAGGAATAAAACTTTGAAGCTTCATGTTAAATTTCCATGATAACTGGCCTTGTATTTATAATATTTTGCCTTGTATTTATAATATTTTAGCACTTCCCATTAGCACACAAAATACCGTGATGGCATGTCAAACACATGTCAACATCATAAAAAATATCATGATATTATATTTATCATCTTTACTAAAGTTCTGCTCCCATCGATACTATTTCAAGGCAGATCTTACATTCTAAAAGCAATCTTACTTAGCATGATTTTAATTCACAGAGAAATGGACAGAGCAAGAAAGCCTCCAGGTTTATAGAAACATGTCTCTCTAGTCTTACTATGGTTATCTGACTAAACTTTTTTCTGCAAAGCAGCTAGAAAAAAAAATTATATGTTGGTAACACTGGCAGTGGCTACGAAGGGTTAAAAGAAGAGGTTATGGTAACATTGCTTTTGATTAAGGAACGATATTTCTGTATATAGGTTTGAATAAAGTGAACAACAGGTGAAGGAGAGGAAAAGATGCTGGGTTGGTGTTTTGAACATGCTTTAAATTGTGAAACCAATGACCACCCCCATCACCATAAAAAACAGATGCTTACAGAATTCATATAGCATTTAGGTAAAGACTTAAAATCAATGGAATAAATTCAGATGACTATATTTCCTTCAGGGAAATTTATTACACAAAACAAACTTCCTTGAGCAACCATTCTGATGTGGTTTATCCATACCTATTTACAATTTTTCTCAATTTCAATAACCATTAGCAAAATATTTCATATGTAACTTTACTCACATGCACAAAAATCCATTGATATGTGTCTTAAATATCTAACACTTGCTATAGCTATTACTTCATGTCAATTAAGTCAATTGATGGGACAAAAGAATTTTAATCCTGGTGCTCTTATGTATATTTATAACATACATAGAGCTCATTGAGTATGAGTAGAGCTCATTCATTATGTTGCCAGACACAAGAATCTCTTGATCACAAGTGAGGACATCATATGTCATGTTGTTAATCAGTAATAGAGTTACGAAGTGTATTAGTTCATTCTCGTATTGCTATAAAGAACTACCTGAGGTTGGGCAATTTATGAAGAAAAAGGTTTAATAGACTCACAGTTCTGCACGCTGTACAGGAGGGCATGCCTGGGGAGGCCTCAAGAAACTTACAGTGATGGCAGAAGGTGAAGAGGAAGCAGGCCTGTCTTACACGGCCGGAGAAGGAGGAAGAGAGGGCAGTGGGAGATGCTACACACTTTTAAACAACCAGATCTTGTGAGAACTCACTACTGCGAGAACAGCAAGGGGGAAATCTACCCCCTTGATCCAATTACCTCCCACAGGGCCCCTCCTCCAATATTGGGGCTTACAATTCCACATGAGATTTGGGCAGAGACACTAATCCAAACCATATCGCAAAGTCTGGACTTATTTATTTATTTCTAACAGATAAAAACAGACTGGACATACTTTTTATTATAATGTGATTGTCACTTGTTTTTCAGTGTCTTTAACTTGAATGAGGAGGAGGAAGGGAGTAAAGTTATAGCTGCTCTTCTGGGCATTGCAATAACCCATAATATGTTAGCTGTAGCCCATCAAGAAATTGTTATTTATAAACACTAATAATTCTAGAAAATATGTGCTATGAACCAATTTCGTGCCCTAAAATAGACTTTAGGTTCTAAATCCCCCTAAGTCCAAGGAAGTATGTTTCACATATGAATGTCTTCCATTGATTTGTACCACAGCAGAGTAAGATAAAGGAAGAGAATTCTTCTTCAGATCACATGAGAGATCCATAGATATTCATCAAATATAGAAATATATGTTCATTTAGCAATTCTATAGGTGTATATTAATTCTTTTCACATGAACCATCTCATTGGTAGTATGCCTTTTTCTCTGGAAATGATGCTATAATTCATGTAAAACATTTTTGAAATTTCAAAATCTCTCTTTAGGGTCTATTTGCACAATTTTAAATTGTGTTAACATCAATCAGTATACATCAGTATGTGTTTTATTTGTAATTCAGTGATTTTATAAGAAAATATAACAGATTTTTAATGCTGTTTCAAATGAAGTTTCCAGGAAGGAATTGGGGCAAAAAGTAAAATTTATCACTTCTAAAATGTTTATACTTAGAAATATTATATTTTGTGTATATATATATGTTCACACACACACACGTGCACAGAAATACATGGACATTGTCTTAGTCTGTTTGCATTTCTATAAGAAACACCTGAGGTTAGGTAATTTATAAAGAGATTTATATGGCTCATGGTTCTGCAGGGTGTACAAAAAGCATGGAAACAGTATATGCTTCTGGTGAGGGCCTCAGGCTCCTTCCATTCATGGTGAAAGGCAAAGAAGAGCCAGTGTGTACAGATCACATGGTGAGAGAGGAAGGAAGAGAGGGAGGAGTGAGGTGCTAGGCTCCTTTTAAGAATCAGCTCACATGGGAACTATCCTGGGTACTAACAGAGCGAGAACTCAATCATTACCTGAAGGACAGCACCTAGCCATTCATGAGGAAACCACTCCATGACCTAAACAATTCGCATTAGGCCCCATCTCCAATACGGGGGATAAAATTTCAACATAAGATTTGACAGGGCCAAACAAACCATATCCAAATCATAGCAAACTTACTAGTGCATATGCACAGATATACACATTATTAATGTATAAACCTTATGTTTGTGTTTTTATGAAGGCATATACATGTATTATATTCTAAAAATACACAGAAGGAATCTAAACTTTAATCAGAAAGAGATTAACATATTAAATGGCTGTGTCTTTACCTCAAAGAGTAGAACTGCTAAATATCACGCCTTGACCTGTAATGCAATAAGTACAGCAATGCCTAACAAAGAAAAATTATTTCTAATCATTAGCTGTTCTACTGTTTGCATGCTTATCTACTTGAAGGTTAATTTCACAGAACTTAGAGCATAGGCACTAGCTATTACATACCCTATATGGGTTAATATTTGCAGCCTGATGGAACCAAACACTAAAACTCCGACATGATGATATGAAGTCACACAAAACAGTAAGATCATTGTTATTTTCATTCCAAGAATAGTGTAGTGCACTTTATTGACTTTATAAGACAGGAATGACCTATCCAAACCATGCTTTTTACAGGCTCTTCTCCTTATATCTCTTAGGAGATTTCAGGATATATATAACTAATTAAAAAGGAATAGTTATACTTTGAAATGGCTCGATTCTAATTTTTTTATAAACAAAGAATAGCACAAAAACAAGGTCAGAACTGGCCTTAAAAGTTGAAGGACATTAACTCCGTGTAATGTTAAACTTCCTCTGATAGAAATACTTGTTAAAATTATTTTCCCAACTGTCTGGCCAATGGTCTGAATTCCTATCATGAAATATGTATTCTCATTAGTTAGAGCAGTACAATCCGAAAGAATATTTGTTGATTATAAATTAGTAGCTTGAAGATTAGCTATTAACATTTAAGCAAGGGCTCAGCTATTAGAGATCAACTAGGACATGATGAAATGACCATAGGAAATTAGGAAGTTAGCAGACGATCTGACATCACTTTCAAAGGGAATATGATTGCATATGGGTGAGTGCCTCAGCTGGGAACTCCCGGCAATAAGAAAATGGTACAAAAGGGAAGGGCAAAATAAATCAATTAGGAACTACAATATATTCAACACAGCATAAAATACTCTCTTATCTCATTGATTTTTCCAGAGTTAGATGATCTCTTTTATAATGTCCCCATTGGATATAAGGGCAATAATAGAAAGATGTGTGAACTTAATAAAAATAAAGTTCACATATTGTGTTGTATTGTTCCTTTCAAATGAGAGGTCAGTAAAATCCATCCAAAATATAACTGCATTATTAGTAACAGACTCGGAATGGTAAAACTACTGTTTCTGTAATCTATGAAAATGGTTCCCAATTTCTAGGCTGCAGACTCTTACAAAGCAGCTGAGGGTGTACCTGCAAAACAGTCAGTTTGATAAATAATTTTTAATACGTCTTTTAAAATGACTTTACAAATGTCATTATATACTCTAAGAGGTAATACAATTACATTTTACTTTAGAGTTTATCTGAATTTATAGTAATGTTTGGTGATATGTTTTCTCAAAAAACAGGTAATAAAATGTAAGTATTTTCATGTAGAGTGGCTGGCAAATGGTTTGAGCTTAAAAAGCATGCAGGAATTGAAAAGAATGAGATCACAGCTCTTCAGTTTGAATGTAGCAGAAAATAAATCATGCTAATATTTCATTAGTTTATGCAAGACTGAAATAAAAATCATTTAATGTTCATGGAAGTCAGATGTCACTTCAAGCCTTAAAGTAGAATTCTGAAGTACTATTTGCATTTCAGCATGGAAGAATTAAATCCAACTTCCTGCCATTGATGCTTCTTTATGTACACTTATCCAGTAGTAATAGGAAAGTACCATGCCCAGCAAACTACTGGAAAAGGTCATAAACACCCATGTTCTGGCTACAAAAGCTTAGGTTGGTGCTGTTGGAGACTGATTCTCACAGTTACATAGAATACTATTAAGATTATGGGGCTAACATTTGCTTCCAGATTTAGTAATTTGGAAACAAAATGTTTAAATTGTAATAAGCCTGAGGAAAACAGTTGCCAAGAGAATAACAGAGGGTGAGTATGGGAGGAAAGAGAGGCATTAAAAAAATTATAAAACATAATGAATTTGCATGCCCGTTTCAATAAATTGACTTAGAAGGTTTGCAGTTTTACCAATCACTGCAAGGTCTATATTTTTAGTAGAATATAGGGTATTTTTTAACAAAAGTTAATAAATATTCCATTACACAAAACAAACTAGAGTCAGCTATGAAGACTGATTTGTGAAGGTGTAGCACAAAATTGACATGTATATATGCTGCCTTTTTATTTTCTTTTATTTCACAGGGTTGTTGATGTTTGACTTGCTATCAATCACCATGTCCTAATATTTATTCCATCAAAATGACTTCTTCTTTCCCATTCACAGTTTAATTTTCATTCTAACAACCACCACTCTAATTCTGCACATTTGCACAGCATCAACCTGGAATAGCTTATTCATTGGTCTCTTTACTTCTGCCCTTTGTCATAATTACCTTGCACATAAATATCTTACTCATTATGTCTAGCCTCTTAAATGCAAAGATAAGCATACAGCATGTAAAAAAGACTGCAATATGAGTGTATGGATGGATGGAGAAATTGACATCCTCATCTGTGATACATTTGAGCTACTGGAAAAAAAAAACTACTTTAGACATCAGTGGGGATCCTACATGTATAACATTCAATCCCTAATTGTCATAGGTTGAGTTTTCTAGAAGCAGACAGTTTGGAGTTTAAGAGGATTATTAGGGAGTAACACGTGTAAGAAATGGAGATGGAACCAAATGAAGAACAGAATGAAGTAGAACAGCTATGCAAGCCCAGTGAGGACTTGTTCAACCAGGCTGGGAGCTCTGGATTGCCTTTCAAAGTTTCTGGTATCAGGCTGAAATGTGTAGTCCTCTAAACATGTCTTAATCAGTTAAAAGAGGCAGACTTGCCTGATAGGGTGTCACCTTAGTCAAGGTGGCACTCTTCAGCTGAGAAAGATCCTGTAGGAACTGACAAAAGGAGGCAGGTAGCTGATAGCATTTCACATAGCTAAGCACCAAGTGCTAACATGAAAAGGCATCTGGCAAGTTCAGTTCCACATATTTCAAATTAATCAACTCATTTTTATCCTAATTTCCAAATCATAAAAAAATCTAACAGTTGTGATCACCCATTATAGCAAGCTGTATCATTTGCCAACCCCACACACTTGGTGCTTTTGGTGTGTTTTAGGACAGAGAGATACACGCTGGTCAGTACACCATTTGAGCAGCCTTCCTTAAGTGAGGAGAGACTGAGTAGCCACTTGAGGATTTCATATCCTTGTAAGTCTGCGAAGCCCTTTGTAAAGCACAGCTTCTTCAGGCATTACTTGAAATTCTATCGAGTATAAATATGAAATGCCCTTCTTGGTCAATTTTGCTCATAGCCAATTCTTATTCATTAGTCAACCCATGTTGTATATGTCACATATCACTCTTTTTTTATACATATTGTTAGGATACTAATTACCAAGATGATGCATTATGGTTTTTAAAGTTATGGTTTCATCCAGTAGGAACCACCACAATGCAAGTAGATGATACTTTTATTTTGAAAGTAAGAGCTTGAAAATAAACTATCATCAGAATGAGCAGACAACCTACAGAATGGCAGAAAAAATTTTGCAGTCTGTCCATCTGACAAAGTACTAATATCCAGAGTGTACAAGGAACTTAAAGAAATCTACAAGAAAAAAACAACCCCATTAAAAAATGGGCAAAGGACATAAACAGACACTTCTCAAAAGAAGACATTCATGCAGCCCACAAACATGAAAAAAAAAAGCTCAACATCACTGGTCATTAGAGAAATGCAAATCAAAACTGCAATGAGATACCATCTCACGCCAGTCAGAATGGCGATTATTAAAAAGTCAAGAAACAACAGATGCTGGTGAGGGTGTGGAGAAAAAGGAGTACTTTTACACTGTTGGTGGAAATGTAAATTAGTTTAACCATTGTGGTGATTCCTCAAAGATCTAGAAGCAGAAATACCATTTGATGCAGCAATCCCATTACTGGGTATATATCCAAAGGAATATAAATCATTCTGTTATAAAGACATATGCACATGTATGTTCACTGCAGCACTATTCACAATAGCAAAGACATGGAATCAACTCAAATGCCCATCAACGATAGACTGGATAAAGAAAATGTGGTACATATACACCATGGAATACTATGCAGCCACAAAAAGGAAGGAGATCATGTCCTTTGCAGGGACATGGATGGAGCTGGAAGCCGTTATGCTCAGCAAACTAATGCAGGAACAGAAAACCAAACAACAAACACATGTTCTCACTTATAAGTGGGAACTGAATGATGGGAACACATGGACACATGCTAGGGAACAACACACACTGGGGCCTGTCAGTGGGGAGCAGGGGGAGAGAAAGCTTCAGGAATAGCTAATGGATAATGGGCTTAATACCTATGTGATGAGTTGATCTGTGTAGCAAACCACCATGGCACACATTTGTCTATGTAACAAGCCTGCGCATCCTGCACATGTACCCCTGAAATTAAAATAAAAATTGAAGAAAAATAAATAAATAAATAAACTGACCATGTCTACATGGTGTTAAATTAAAAAAAAAAATAAGAAAAAATACTAAGAGCTGGCCGGGCATGGTGGCTCACGCCTGTAATCCCACCTGTAATCCCAGCACTTTGGGAGGCCGAGGCGGGTGGATCATGAGGTCAGGAGATCGAGACCATCCTGGCTAACACGGTGAAACCCCATCTCTACTAAAAATACAAAAAATTAGCTGGGCGTGGTGGCGGGCGCCTGTAGTCCCAGGTACTCGGGAAGCTGAGGCAGGAGAATGGCGTGAACCCGGGAGGCGGAACTTGCAGTGAGCCAAGATCACACGACTGCACTCCAGCCTGGGTGACAGAGCGAGACTCCATCTCAAAAAAAAAGAGAAAAAATAGTAAGAGCTTGAATGAGTTCTCTAAGATTCTTTATAATAATATTCATCTTTAAATAACTTTCAAGCATTAAAATGATGAATTTTAAGTCTGCTGAAATTCTGAAAACCGTATTACAAAAGCATTTTTTATATTGGTTTCTATTTGGTTGAAAAAACTAAAAATGTTCAGGATAAAGGTAAATGTTAAATAGATTTAAATAATTAAATTACATAAAATTAAGGACATTAAGAGAAAACCATTCAATACATTTAATAAAATATTTAAATGAAGAATTGATATAATAAAGTTGGTTTTAAGTTGAACAGAAATTTTTAAACAGAAAAAATATTTAATTTAATTGTACACATTATTCTTTTCTTTTTAACATGAAGTAAATGCATTTTGATTTCTAATAACACCCTTTGTAAGCATAAAGCATACATTTAAATATCACCTATCTAATATGAAATGCCCAAATTATAGACAGCAACACTTATGGATAACTAATGGCTAGGTAATTTATTGAGTAATCAGTTCAGATTTACAAATAGGTGAGAAACTGGGTAGCCACAGTGGGGGTGGGTCTGAGGAAGATGAGATGGAGAGGGCTGTACTAGGAGGTCCTAAGGTAGCCGTTGACTGCATGGGCATCCACCTTCTAGGAGTTCTGTGAAGAACAGCAACCAGGAAGGTGCTCACAACCAGTAAGGGAGATAAAGAGGACAAGACATTGGAATTTCCTTTAAAATGAAAAATCTCTAAGCAAGGCAGAGGTTCTCCAACCAACTTCACAGATCCCAAAGAGGATGGGGTTAGAGAAAAGAAAAAGAAGGATATTAGAAAAACTACATCTGTGGTTAACTCTTTTATTCTGCTACCTGGTGTTAACAGTACTATAATTTTAATAATCTGGGAAGATGTGGTAAATATTACCTTGACAGTTTCTCAGCTTTTGCATTTCTATGCAAATTTTAAACTCCACCATTTGGCTACAAGTAAACGATGAATAACTTCCAGTTATGAACATCGTATATTTATAGTGTATTATGACACACCAGTATTATATTTTTTGTTAAATATAAATGAAACATTCTACCTTGTATAGAGACTATGGTTTGTTTGAATAGATTAACCATGAAAATAATGTTCTTTGTAGGATGAAGGTGCCATTACAAACAGCTTTTCACAGGGCTAGGACAAAGAATACAGAGCAGATGATTATATCAGAACACAGAGCGGTCTCATGTGAACTCTACTCCCTTCCTCACTGCTTATTCTATCTACACACACAACACTAAGGAAGGTGGACAAGTGTATGGTATTATGCATAACTCATCCCCCCAAACCATGACAAATAATGTTTTGAGGTAATATTACCATACTGACTTCAGTTATGAACAATTAAATGGATACTAAGATTTCCCATTGCCTGCCTTTTGTTGCCATGATGCTAAAATTTGAGATGGACCATTGTAAATGGTTTGCATTAAGAATGGAGTCTCCAAAAGATGAATCTATCCTTAGTAATTCTTCTTAATCCATAAGGAGAGCTTTGAGTACCTCAAAAGTTGCCTGTAGCTACCTGGTAGTATCCCTCAGAGGTACGCAACTCACATTACTTGCTTATTATAAGCCTTAATTTAAATATATATTCAAATATATCTACATACTTATTTTAAATATCCAATATCAAATATCCCAAAAAGGCACATAAAAAGCAGGTATTAGTTTACACTACAGTTCCTAAGGTAGCATTGCCAACTTGAGTGAATAAGTGCTTTCAAACTGATTTGACTCTGGATCTGATTCATTCTCTGCTAGCCTCCTTTATGTGATGCAGTTTCCTATCCATTCAAAAACAGGAAGGTATCTGAAAGAGGCATGCTAAATATACATTTTAAAGCACTAGGGACTGACCCAATGGTGCCAAGCACACTCTACCCAAATGCCAAATTATGCACTGAGCAGAACAATATTTAGAATTACCTTCATTATTCCTCAATTCTTTCTAATTGTATTGAATGCTTTCTAAAAATAGTATAATTTCCATTTAAGTGATTGTCAATGAGAGTAAGTATAAGAAGCTTTATTATGCAGCAAAAGTTGTTTATAAACCCATAACATGGTTGATAAAATGCTACTGAATAGAGGAAAAGAGCTAATATAATTAACAGCTGTATATTCTCAGTTTTAAACATCAGACCTGCCTATTTAAAAATATATTTCTCATCAGAAAAATGTTAAGTACATTTGCAACAAAGTCTATGAGTTTTATCTCTAAAGTCTGAATGTATTGATTAATTAAAACCTCAATGAAAAATGTAAGAATTCTAATTTTTATTATTTAAAACACTTATAAATGCATTAATTTATCTTTATGTGCAAAATTTTATTGTACCTGTTTTAAAGGCAGAGGATATATATAATCCAGTTCCTCAAATGTGGCAACTTGCAAAATTAAGCAAGAATGTGGTTAGTTATTTTTAAGAAAAGGTCAATCATTCTACTATGCTATATCTCATCCATGATTAGGAAAACAATCAATTTTTATTGGCTTTGAGTGGACAACTAAATCAGGTACTTTCCAGGAGTTTCTGTGCCAATAAATTCATAGAGCAGACACTTCAATATTAGCTTTGCTGTTAATGACACTGTATTAGTCCATTTTCATACTGTATGAAGAAATACCCAAGGCTGGGTAATATTTAAAGAAAAAGAGGTTTAATGGACTCACAGTTCCACATGGCTGGGGAGGCCTCACAATCATGGTGGAAGGCAAAGGAGAAGCAAAACACATCTCACATGGCGGCAGGCAAGAGAGTGTGTGCAAGAGAACTGCCCTTCATAAAACCATCAGGTCTTGTGAGACTTATTCACTATCATGAGAACAGCAAGAAAAAACCCACCCCCCTGATTCAATTACCTCTGACTGGGTCCCTCCCATGACATATGGGGATTATGGGAGCTACAATTTAAGATAAGCTTTGGGTAGAGACATAGCCAAACCACATCATTCCACCCATGGCCCCTCTCAAATCTCATGTCCTCACATTTTAAAACCAATCATGCCTTCCCAACAGTCCCCCAAAGTCTTAACTCATTTCAGCATTAACTCAAAATTCCACAGTCAAAGTCTCATCTGATATAAGGCAAGTCCCTTCCACCGCTTAGCTTGTAAAATCAGAAACAAGTTAATTACTTCCTAGATATAATGGGGGACAGGTATTGGGTAAATACAGCCATTCCAAGTGGGAGAAATTAGCCAAAACAAAGGGGCTACAGGCCTCATGCAAGTCCAAAATCCAGCAGGGCAGGCAAATCTTAAAGCTCCAAAATGATCTCCTTTGACTCCATGTCTCACATCCAGGTCACACTGATACAAGAGATGGGTTCCCATGGTCTTGAGCAGCTCCACCCCTGTGGCATTGCAGGTTACAGCCCCCCTTCTGGCTGCTTTCATGGGCTGGCATTGAGGGTCTGCAACTTTTCCAGGTGCATGGTGCAAGCTGTCAGTGGATCTAGGGGCTGGAAGATGGTGGATCTGGGGTCTGGAGGATGGTGGATCTGGGGTCTGGAGGATGGTGGGCCTCTTCTCACAGCTCTCCTAGGCAGTGCCCCAGTGGGGACTCTGTGTGGGGGCTCTGATTCCACATTTCCCTTCCACACTGCCCTAGCAGAGGTTCTTCATAAGGGCTCCACCCTGCAGCAAACTGCTGCCTGGACATCCAGGTGATTACATAAATCATCCGAAATCTAGGGGAAGGTTCCCAAACCTTGACTCTTGACTTCTGTGCACCTGCAGGTTCAAAACCACATGGAAGCTGCCAAGGCTTGGGACTTGCACCCTCTGAAGCCATGGCCTAAGCTATACCTTGACCCCTTTTAGCCATAGCTGGAGCAGCTGGGACACAGGGCATCTCATCCCTAGGCTGCACACAGCAGGGGTACCCTGGACCTGGCTCAGGAAACCATTTTTCCCTCTTAGGCATCCAGGCCTGTGATGGGAGGGCTGCTGTGAAGATCTCTGACATGCCCTAGAGACATTTTCCCCATTGTCTTGGTGATCAACATTTGGCTCCTTGTTAGTTATGCAGATTTATGCTGCTGACTTGAACTTCTCCACAGAAAATGGGTTTTTCTATTCTACTGCAGTATCAGGCTGCAAATTTTTCAAACTTTTATTCTCTGCTTCCTCTTGAACACTTTGCCACTTAGAAATTTCTTCTGCCAGATACCCTAAATCGTCTCTCTCAAGTTTAAAGTTTCACAGATCTCTAGCGCAGGGGCAAAATCCCATCAGTCCCTTTGCATGGCAAGAGGGACCTTTACTCCAGTCCTCAACAAGTTCCTTACCTCCATCTGAGACCACCTCAGCCTGAACTTTGTTGTCCATATCACAATCAGCATTTTGGTCTAAGCTATTCAACAAGTCTCTAGAAAGTTCCAAACTTTCCTACAACTTCCTGTCTTCTGAGCCCTCCAAGTCTCTAGGAAGTTCCAACTTTTCACACATTTTTCTATCTTCTTCTGAGCCCTCCAAACTGTTCCAACCTCTGCCTGTTACCCAGTTCCAAAGTCACTTCCACATTTTTGGCTATCTTTATAGCAGCACCCCACTCTCTGTGGTACCAATTTACCGTATTAGTCCATTTTCATACTGCTCTGAAGAAATACCAACATGGGGCAATTTATGAAGAAAAAGAGGTTTAATGGACTCACAGTTCCACATGGCTGGGGAGGCCTCGCAATCATGGCAGAAAGTGAAGGAGAAGCAAAGGCACATCTCACATGGTGGCAGGCAAGAGAGAGCGTGCAGGGGAACTGTCCTTTATAAAACCATCAGGTCTCATGAGACTTATTCACTATCACATGAACAGCACAGGATAACTCACCCCCATTATTCAATTACCTCCTACTGGGTCCCTCCCATGACATGTGGGGATTATAAGAGCTACAATTCAAGATGAAATTTAGGTGGGGACACAGCCAAACTGTATGAGACACTAACACTTCTGAACACCGGCCAATAACAAATGTGCGGGTCCATTGCTCCTGATGTCATTGGAACCACAACAACTACGTTCTTTGAATACACAGTCACATTTCATATTTGTTTGATTTTATTCTATAACCATAGAGACGATTCATGAGATTTTGCCTCATTAATTAATATATTGAGCAAAATAAATTAATAATGCCTCAGTACTTATTGAGTAGACTGTAATTCTATCATTACTATATGTGGAACACAGAAGTTTCACTAGTGTGTGTGTGTGTGTGTGTGTGTGTGTGTGTGTGTGTGAGAGAGAGAAATACATGCAGAAGAGTAAGAAAGAAAGAAAACATCTCTTATTCTTTGGAAAATCTATATATGACATATAGTAGTGTAACCCTCGAAAACATATGCTTATTATAAAAATTTCTATATAATTATTTATAGTCTAAATGGTATTTAAAATAAGGTGACTAAGTGGAAAATCTTTGGAAACCAAAATATGGTTTACATTCTTGGCTCCCCCATTTAATGTTTGAGTGAGCTTGGACAAGTTAGGTCACACTGTGAGCCTTAGATTCCTCTTCTATAAAACAGAGATGATAATCTAGAAACAAAAAAAAAGAAAAAAAACCCCACTTCTCAGGACTATTGTGCGGATTCCATGAGATCTAGCCTATGAGTAGTACCTGACTTGTATTAATTAATAGCTGTAGACCTTATGCTTCCTGTATTTGTTCAAACTTGATATCCATAACATCACACTCTCCTGGTTCTCACCCTATTTCTCACTCATGGATAGCAAAGCAGAGCATGGACGACTTTCATAATCTGTTCCTGCTGCCTTTTCAGTTTCATCCCCAGCTAAGTCTTGCCAGAATTCACCAAACCGTAACACCAAAAATGCCATTAAAATATGGGTTGCTTTAGCCTCCATACCTCATGCTTCATTTTACTGTTTATAATACTCCTTATTCACATCACCATTTCTCACACAGATATATATTTAGGTTGATGCAAAAGTAATTGTGGTTTTTCTGACATTGAAAATAATGGCAAAAACTGCAATTGCTTTTGCACCAATTGAATAAAACTTCTATCCCCAGACTTTTTGGGGAATTTGGGTAAGACGCAAGTAGGGTGTACAATCTCTGAGCTGGGAGCACATTATTGTGGATGGGAAAGCAGACAGATTAGCAGAAAATATTTATTCCTGCTATTATTCACAGATTTCCAGCTGGTTGGGCCAATCCAAATGTGACAAAATCTAAAGAAAACAAAATTAAAAGCCAAGCATGTTGGCCCCCAAGAGAAGCCACATTATGAAAGAATCTTACAAAGTAAAAGAAAGCAAAAAAATCAAGAAATCAGTCTTATATTTTTAATTAGGCCCATGGGCTTCCATATGAACAAACCAGATGCAAATAAAGGCTTCAACATAGGGCAAAAAACCTAACACACTGACATCCATCAAGGATTTGCCCCCTTTCTTTACCTAAATCTTGGGCAGAGTACACACATGGTTTGCCTACAATAAATATATGCTAATAGATTACCAATAATAAATGAGTATAATTTATTTCATAGAAATTCTAAAATGAAAAGGAAGCTCTTGAGGAATTCCTTTCTGGAAGACCTCATTTATCTCAATGAGATCAGAAATGGTATGCCTAAAGAGAGAAAGGCAAGGACAGCATTGGAGAGTAGAGAAGAGTAAGAGGATCTGATCATATTCACTGTAGAAAACCAGATAAGGAGTTAACCAGTCACCAGTAAAAGGATTTGCCAGTATTAAGGCTCTGGGGAATGCTTATGGCCTTAGTGCCTTGTTTATCTGGGTGTACAGAAAAGTCTTTTGTTGCTCATCTATGATTTGCAAAGTTTCTAAATTAGTTCCAATAGCTCTAATTTATCACAAATCTGCTGATGATTGAAATGGGATGTTGTGAAATATGATGTATTAAGAAGAAGATATTTCTATGTATTAAGAAGAGAGATGTCCCTCTCCTAATGCCAAACACATGAATCAGTCCTTTAACTACAAATATACAAATGACGCCTCTAAATGTTAATAAATGAGCACATAGAGAACATACTCTGACACTAATTTTACTTTTCATTATAAGCCTTTTAAACAAACTTTATAGCTCTACACTTCAACCTCTTGCCATTTAGTTAGTCAAGTTATTTCAGGATATGATGTAAAAATGGTATTTCTGGTCCTATAAGATAAGATATCCAGAAATATCATTTTACCAAGATGTATTTGAAATCTCCTCACCCCGTTAAAGTAACATGCAACAAAGCTATATTGTAGGGAAATCATTATGTTGATATTTCTCACTTTCAGTTGACACTTATTTAGCATTTCCTTTGGGTTATTTCCTGTCCAATTGCTCAATAATTACTAACTCACTGTACTTTTCATGATGACAGATGGGATAGGTTCTGCTATTAGCTCCATTTCATAGATGAGGAAACTGAGAGTCTCAGAAGTAATGTTAACAAAGCCTGGATTTGACCCCAGGCAGTCTAGCTCCAGAGTATAAATTGGTAGCCACTATTATGCTGCTTTTTGTGAGAGCGCACTTACATTTGGAATTTTAGAAATAATCTTTATGTCCAAGGTTATTATATTAGATCCCTCTCTTTTTAACATTTTACCATGGTGTAAAATATAAATATGTTATTCTTTAATGTCAGATACAAAATAATGTACATTTAGATATCTTACCAGTTTTTTCTGTCATCACAGAAAAGAAGATTGGTAAAAAATGACACAGGTTTAGATGACTTGAAACTGAGGTGGCAAGTGAGCTTATTATTAATTCCACTGTGAGAGCCTGGGATGACTCTGCCTTTTGGAAATTTCACAGAAAGAGGGTGAATCTCTTCACCATCAAGAAGCCTTACTGTGGGAATCTGGACACATAGAGTTGAATTTCTGTTTAAAATAAAAAAAATGTTTCATTAGCTCAAAATACCTGCCAGTCATTGGCTTTAAATGTATATTTCATTTTTTTGAATCCTCAA